>NC_000013.11:79019468-79172309 GCF_000001405.40 Homo sapiens | reverse complement strand
TAAAAAGGAATGAAATAATGGCATTCACAGTGACCTGAATAAAATTGGAGGCCATTATTCTAAGAGAAGTAACTCAGGAATGGAAAACCAAGCATCGTATGTTTTCACTTATAAGCGGGGGCTAAACTATTAGGATGCAAAGGCATAAGAATGATACAGTGGAATTTGGGGACTCAGGGGGAAAGGGTGGGAGGGAGGTGAGGGATAAAAGACTACAAATTGGGTACAGTGTATACTGCTCAGGTGATGGGTGCATCAAAATCTCAGAAATCACCACTGAAGAATGTATTCATGTAACCAAACACCATCTGTTCCCCCAAAACCTATGGAAATAAAAAAAAGTGGGGAACATATTAGGGCCACTAAGGGCTCAGATCCCCAAAGAATGAAGTTTTGGGTCACTTTGTAGTCAAAGTGATAAAAGAGGAAATGAGTGGTGGAAAGAGGGAGTTGTGATTGCCAGTTTTTGCTTGGAAATCAGAGACAAAAGGGACAGTAATCAGGGTAATTGAAAAGAATAATCAGAGGAGGGACAAAAGCAGCCATGGATATCTTATGGAAATTGATGGTTTCTCTTTTACTCCCCTTTCCTATTACCTTTTGTCAAGAGGACAGGTGGAGGCTAATGTTTTAAGTTAGGTTCCAAGTGGGTGTATAATTGAATTAACCTCATCCCTTGATAATACTGTAATTGACGGGATTATGTGGATCCCCTGTGTGGAGAATGAGGGCTTTATTTTTTTATCTTTTTTTTTTTAATCCACTAAAAGGCAAGAATAGATGCTGAGTGGCAAAAGAAGTTGACTGTGCTGGTGACTCCCACACACTTTCTCTATCCTCTACTTACCTCTACTTAGCCCTGCTCTACGGGAAGCTGAAATCTACAGAATGCCAACCCGACCTTCCCGACCTCTGGCTTCACTTTGGATTTGGCTGATGGATGGCAACTGCAGAGAATCAGAGGGTAGGAGGAGATTCGAGATTGCTTCTAAGGCAGCAGCTCTGTTTCTCTGCAGTTACAGCTCCACTAGGCAGCCCTCCTCCAATACACTGCTCTCAGTGGGATCCAATAACGCTAATTCCTCCTTTTCCCTTCAGTGCTAAGGGTGGAAAGGACTTCCTGCAGTCACCAGTTGCCCCCATACCACTGTTTGTTTTCCTAACCCTGCCCTTATCTCCCTAAATTGTCCCCCTCATTAAAGACTATTTAAAGCACCTGATCAAATCCTCTTCTTTGATGGGACCTTTACAACACATATACATGAAAATTTAATTTATGTCTGAGGTAGCATTAGAAATTTGTGGTGAAGGACTGGATTATTCAACAAATGTGCTCTGCTAGGATAAATAATTTTCCACACAAAAATTAAAATTCGATCTAGGCCTCATTCTGCACACAAAAATTAATTCTAGATGGATTAAATCCCTGAATGAGAAAAAACTTTTAAATTTAAAAATAGCATATTTATGAAACCAGAATGGGGGAATATTTTTTTCAACAAGACACAAAAACCCTAAGCACAAAGGAAAAGGATGATAAATTTGAATATGTTACAGGAAATTTTTCTGTATAGACATCAGAAAACACCCTTTATAGTCATGCCACAGACTGGGAGAAGATATGTGAAACATACACGACTGACAAAGATTTGTATCTAAAATATACAAAGAACTGCAAATCAAGAAGAAAAAGACAAACTAACAGAGAAATTGGCAAAGGATGCAAAGAAACAATTCATGGGAAGAATATCCTAATGGTGGGAAGTCATGTGGAATGATGGTCAGCTCGTTTGCAGTCAAATAAATTTTAAAAACTCACAAACTTCAGCAGGGTAGCATTTCTCAAATATCAACTTGGCATTTAGTCTGATAAGAGCTAATGTTTCAAGAAAATGAGGAAAGTGGAACTCTCATAGTGTGCTGGTGGGAGTGCAATTGGCCCGACCTCTTTGAAGAGGAGCTTGACAATATCTAGTGATGAAGATTTGCATGCCATCTGACCTCATGATTCCTCTTCTTGCTATATAGTCTAGATGAAACTTTTGCATAGTATATATAAGCACACATGTACAAGAATGTTTATAGGTGTATTGATTGTAATAGAGAAAAATGGAAAACAACCGAAATAAGCTATTATGAGTGAATTATATCATACAATGTATTTTACCATATGGCAATTAAAACGAATGAAATGAGAGCTCTATGTGGCAAAATGGATAATCATGTGAAGAGAGCGTTGAGCCAAAAACGTGCAAGCTGCTAAAGCAATGAAAACTATTAGAGATGTATCTGAAATCTAGATTCAATACTTACATTATGCCCGTGTTCCAGGTTTACCCATGACAGTTGTTGTGTAGTTTAGTTGAATTCAAAATATGTTGCCTATTCTGGGTACATACTCCTTCAAAACCAGAAAACTGAGAAGTAAATATTAGAATGTGCTACATTTAAATTTTTATTAAAAATTGTAATAAAGTCATTTTCACTATCTATTGATTCTTCCTTGGGTAGATTATTTTTAAAATATTTTCATTTTTAAATTTTTAATTATTTATTTATTATTATTTGTATAAATTTAAAGGGTACAAGGGCAATTTTGTTACATGGATATATTATATAGTGGTGAAGTCTGGGCTTCAACACAACCACCACCCAAATAATGTACATCGTACCCATTAAGTAAATTTTCAACCCTCATCCAACTCTCATCTTCCCACCCGTCTGAGTCTTCAGTGACTATTATTCCACACCCTATGTCCATGTGTATGCATTATTTAGCTCCCAGTTATGAGAACATGCATTTTTGGACTCTCTGTTTCTGAGTTGTTTCACTTAAGATAATGGCCTCCAGTTCCATCCATGTTGCTGCAAAAGACATGATTCCATTTTTCATGGCTCAATAGTATTCCATTATCTATCTATCTATCTATCTATCTATCTATCTATCTATCTATCTATCTCACATTTTCTTTATCCAGTCCTCTGTTGATGGACACAGGTTGATTCCATATATTTCCTACTGTGAATAGTGCTGTGATAAACAACTGAGTGCAAGTGTCTTTTTGATATAATGATTTCTTTTCCTTTGGGTAGACACCCAGTGGTGAGACTGCTGGATTGAATGGTCATTCTATTTTTAGTTTGAGAAATCTCCATACTGTTTTCCACAGAGCTTGTACTAGTTTACATTCCCAACAATAATGCACGTGTTCCCTTTTCTCCCCATCCTCACCAACATCTGTTATTATTTATCTTTTTAATAATAGCCATTCTGACTGGTGTAAGATGACATCTCATTGGGGTTTAAATTTGTATTTCTCTGACAATCAGTGATGCTGAACAGTTTTTTCATATGCTTGTGGGCCATTTCTATGTCTTCTTTAGAAACATATCTATTCATGTCCTTTTCCACTTTTAGTGGGTCTATTTGTTTTTGTTGTTGTTGTTGTTGCTATTGTTGAGTTGTTTGAGTTCCTTCTAAATTCTGGATATCAGCTCCCTGTCAGATTCATAGTTTACAAATATACCATTTCATCCTGTAGGTTGTCTGTTTAGTTTTTAAATACTTTATTTCTTTATTGCAATTTTGGGTTCACAGCAAAGTTGAGAGGAAGGTACAGAAATATCCCACATATTCTCTGCCCTGACACATGAATAGCCTCCCTGAGGTAGATTATTTTTAGTATGACTTAAAATGTAAGAAAATTAAGAATAATGCATTGGCCCAGATAGTAATTGGTGAAGACTATTTTTCCTGGCAGACTGATGGCATCACTGTCACTGTGTTTTCAAATGCAGACTTGGGAGCCATATTAGAGTCTTCCTTCCTTTTTACTCTCTTCATTAAAATCCAATTGCTTCTATGTTCTAAACATCTCCAGATTCCTCCATTCCCACAGATACAGCCTTAATTCAGATGATATCATCATTTTTTATTTGAACCACTGCAATAACTTACATGCCTTCTCTTTTTTTTTTGAGACAGAGTCTTGCTCTGTTGCCCAGGCTGGAGTGCCATGGCACAATCTCAGCTCACTGTAACCTCTGCCTCCTGGGTTCAAGCAATTCTCCCTTCCTTAGCCTCCAGAGTAGCTGGGATTATCGGTGCCTGTCACCATGCCCTGCTAATTTTTGTATTTTTAGTAGAGACAAGGTTTCACCATATTGGCCAGGCTGGTCTTGAACTCCTAACCTCAACTGATCCACTCACTTTGGCCTCCCAAAGTGCTGGGATTACAGATGTGAGCCACCGCTCACATGGCCTAATTTACATGTCTTCTTGTCTCTGGTCTCACCCCTTTTCAGCTCATTTTCCGTACTGCTAACAAAGTAATCTTTCCAATACCCCAAATTGGACCATATCTTAGCACCAACAAACACCCTCCAGTATCTTTCCACTCATTTTAAAATCCAAGCAACTTAGCTTAGCACACAAATGTCTGCAGGATGAGACTTTATCCCACATCTCCAGTTTCACATGCTGGCCCAACCTTTCCCACTCTCCCAGTTCCAAACTTTCCGAACTACTGTTTTATATCTCTTAGTCTTCGGGCAAGCAGCCACATCTACGTACAGTGCCATGATTTTTCGAAATTTAACTTGTGAACTGCTTCCAAGAAGTCTTTCCTTGCACTTCCAGGTAAAGTTCTCATCTCTGTGCTTCCTCTGCATCGTACAAGCCTCTGTTGTCGCATCATTCTTTTGTTATAACTATTGGTTTGCATGTCTGTCTCTTCTTGTTTCAACTGTCTTGTCGAACTCTAGTAAATTCTCAAAATGTATGGTGACTCTGTTGGTTGCTCTATGTAGATAATCACAGTGTTTGTAAATAAATAGATATTTTTCTCTTCCCCTTAATCCTATTTCTTTTTCTTTTAATATGACATTCCCTCCACCTTCCTATCCTAAAATAGATGTATTTTTCTACTAATTGCTGCCAAGCTGCTGTTTTGTAACTTTAAATGAATTAATGAATTCCTTTTTATTCTTATTTGCTAAGAGCCTTACAAAATTAACATATGTAGAATTTTGTGTGTCTGTTTAGAAGTATCTCTTTATTAGACAAAGACATAAACTAAAAGTTTCCAAATTCCTGTACATGTTGAAAGGTTTAAATAAAGATTCTTGGATACAAAATATGGTCTACACAGCTCAAAATTAATTCAGTGACATAATATTATGCTAAAGTTATACTTATTTTGAAAGTCTAGAATTTTTGGTTGATGGTTATAAAAATACCACCAACTTAGATATTTTTGTTTTGCTAAGATAGAATAGAATTACTACAACAGTCCACACATTCTAAACATTTAAACATCAATGGTTTCTGGAAGATGCTGTTGTCCTTCATAGTTTGGAGAAAGTTCAGATGGCTTTGGTGAAAGCCAAACTTTTCTTCCACCCACAAAACTGTCTTTTCAGAAGTCTTGCTGGATGTTTTCTTTGTTTGCCTCTCCATATTGCTACTTAATTTGATGGTTTTCATTTTCTAGTTGAACAATTGTTCAATAGTCTGTTCAATATTGTAATTCTTACTGATCAGGGATATCCAATTTGATTCGATTTCTCTTGATTTAGTTCCAGCTGTGAGTTGCATGTCCTTTTGCTGCTAGTTTAAATCTTGAATATGTTTTCTTAACTTCTGAATCACTTCTTTCTGTGCATGTTCAATCATATGAACTAGATTTTCATTATATACCTTCCAGGCATTACATCCACACTGTGACATTAGGTCTAGATTCTCGATTCAAATTGCTTGATGCTCTAGCTGGGCCATAGAATTGTTTACACTTTCTTGCCATGCAATAATGTCGTTTTTCTGACCGGAGGAAGGGGCTGGAAGCTCAGATCATTTCATACGGAGCAATTCAATTGGCTGTCGAGGGGTCAGTCTTTCAAATCCATTTTTCACTATGTCTTCAAAAGCAGAATAATCCAAGGTGTCAGGTAGCTCAGGTAGTTCTTAATAGTTCAGTGTCTGTGAGTGTCCTCTTCCACAAGCACTGTACACCAGGGGTTTCATAACCTTGATAAAAATACAGCAGCACATCCACCACAACCTCTCTGGTCACAAAACCCATGACCACCATTTTGGAGACCTTAGGTTTCTATGCATTATTTTGATACACTATTGATACAGATAGCTAATATTTTATTTTTGATATTCATATCTACAATAACAAGTTAAATAGGCTTGTGATTTTCTTCAAGTGCTCTTGCTTGGTTTTGAGATCATATTTATAGCCTTATAAAATGAAATGGGCAGACTTTCATGGTCTCTCTAGTTTCTGGTGCAATTTAGATAAGTCTTACAGATTTCTTGAAAATTTGGTAAAACTTGTTTATTATAAACCTTCTGGATTTGAGGTTTTTTTATTTTTATTTTTTATTCTTTTTTTATGAAGGAAGTCTTTTATTACTACTTATATTTCTTTATGTTCATTGTTCTGGTCAAGTTTCTATTCTACTTTTTTAGATGTTTCTTTTTTTTAGATAGTTCATATTTTAACCTAGGTTTACAAATTTGCTAACAGTTGTTAATAATACCCCTTTAGCATTTTAATGTATTGTGTTTGTACTTATTTATGTTATTTCATTTTGAATTTATCTTTCTCACTCAAAATAAATTTATTTTATTAAATTTTCCAAAGAACCACATTTTGGTTTTTGTTAAACTCTTTCTCTCTCTCTCTCCTATATTGTAATATATATATATACTTTTTTCTTTTTCTCCCTTGTCTCCCAGGCTGGAGTGCAGTGGTGTGATCTTTGCTCACTGCAACCTCTGCCTCCCGGGTTCAAGCAACTCTCCTGCCTCAGCCTCCTGAGTAGCTGGGATTACAAGCACCTGCAGCCATGCCTGGCTACTTTTTTTGTATTTTTAGTAGAGATGGAGTCTCACCATGTTGGCCAGGCTGGTCTGGAACTCCTGACCTCAAGTGATCCACCTGCCTTGGCCTCCCAAAGTGCTGTGATTACAGGCGTGAGCCACCACGCCTGCCATGTATATGTATTTGATGATGTTTCTCCTTATCTCTTCAGGTTTGCAATATTGCTTTTGTGCCAACATCTTGTGAACACTGAGTTGGTTGTTTTCTGTCTTTACCTTGTCCAATACATGTATTTATATCTGCATATTACTTTAAATATTATGCTTACAAAATTTCAACAAGGAACATTTATACTGTCATCAGCTTGTAAGTATTTAGTAATTTCTCTTATTTTATTTTTAATTATAGCATTTTAATTTCTAAATATACAAGATGTTTTAGCTATATATCTGTTGTTTATTTCTAATTTTATTACATTATGATCAGAGAACATAGTTTATATAGTATTCAATTTCTAAGAATTTTTTGAAGTTTCCTTATGGCCAGTACATAGCCAATATTTATAAATATTTTCATGTGCTCAAAAGCAATATATCTTTTTTGTTTGTTAGATTAACAGTTCTATATGTCTTATATAGTTTGAGCTAATAATTGTGTTTTTTAGATTTGTATTATAGCTTTTTGATATGCTTGATCTATATGTCTCAGAAAGAGATATGTTGACTTTTCTCATTACAATTGTTGATTTATGTATTTTGCTCTGCAGTTCTTTTTAAAAATTAATTAATCATTATTTAACTTTTATTTTCTGTTTGGGGTACCTGTTTGTTACATAGGTAAACATGTGTCATGGGGGTTTGTTGTACAGGTTGTTTCATTACCCAGATATTAAGCCCGGAACCCAATAGTTACCTTTTCTGCTCCTCTCCCTCCTGTCTCAGGTAGACTCCAGTGTGCTCTGCAGTTCTATTATTGCTGTTTTACACATGTAGAGACTCTATTGTTCAATTCCTGTAAGCTCATGATGGTTACCTTCTTGCTCTATTGCTTCTTATCAGTAAATATTGTCTGTCTGTTCTTATTAATATTTTATGTTCTAACTACTACTTTGTGAGATATGATGATTGCTATATGAGCTTTATTTCAGTTAATATTTGTCTAGTACATCTTTTCACAACCTTTTATTTTCAACCTTTCTGTATCATTTTGTTAATCAATATGTCTTTATAGATAAAATATTGGTGAACCTTCTTTAAAAATCTAGGCCAAGAATTTCTTTTAATTAGTGAATTTAATCCACTTATATTAGTAAGTGGATTAAATAATTATTTTAATTGCTGTCACATAATGAGTAGTTTTTTTGATATTTTACTTTTTTTACTAATTATACTTTTTAAAAAAATTTTCTCTTCTTCATTTCTGTTAGATGAAACTTTATTTTGTTAGTTTAAAATTAATGTGTTTTCTTATGGTGCTTGCACATATCCTAACATCAATATTTATGTTAATTTATTCTATTATATTCTTAAACATAAATATCGCTATAAAAATACAAGTTCTTTAGCAAGATCTTCTCCCACTCTTTTTTTTTTTTTTTTCTTGAGACAGAATCTTGCTCTGTCACCATGCTGGAGTGCAGTGGCATGATCTCAGCTCACTGCAAACTCTGCCTCCTGGGTTCAAGCGATTCCCCTGACTCAGCCTCCCAAGTAGCTGGGATTACAGGCACGTGCCACAACACCTGGCTAATTTTTTGTATTTTTTTTAGTAGAGATGGGGTTTCACCATGTTGGCCAAGATGGTCTCCATCTCCTGACCTCATGATCCGCCCACCTTGGCCTCCCAAAGTGCTGAGATTACAAGAATAAGCCACCGTGCCGGGCATCCTTCTCCCACTCTTATCATCTTGGTATTATCTAGAATTTTAGTTATGAGTTATTACACATTTTTTTCTTTGGTTAATAGATTAATAAGCTTTATTTTTTTTAACTTCCCTTATCTCTTGCAATATCCTTCTGGTTGTATCTGCTTGTTTGAGTATATTTTGCAAGAGTGTTTCCAAAATGCATCTAAGTGAGGATTCCTCTGCTTGAAAATATGGTTCTAACATTTGAATGGCAGTTGGCTGCATATAGTATCTTAGGTACAAAGTTTTTTCTTCAATATTTTGAAAATATTATTCCATCCTTTTTTGTATCCAGTGTTGCTGTTGAGAAATCTGTCACTCAAATCATTTTTCTTTTATAGGTGGCCAGCTATTTCTTTGGAAGTGTTGCATTTGATCTTATTTTTATCAGATACATTAGACATAATGTGTCTAGGTATGGATCTTCCTCATCTGTACCTTTTAGCATTAAATCAGCACTTTTAATCTCAGGTCTTTCTGTCACTACTACTGGAAAATGTAATTGTTTTCTTTCATGCTTAGACTGTCGCTATTCCATTAGCACTTCTATCTCTATCCTTGATGTACCTTAGCTTTCTTTTTTCTTGCTCTCTACTTCTCATTCTATCTTTTTATTTTTTCTGATTCTGTATGAGTTTCTCAAGTAATTTATTCAACTCATCAATTTTCCTTGGCTATATCCATTCCATTATTTATTGCATCTATTAAGCCAATTATTTTTATTATATTTTGTATAGCTAATATTTTCACAAAGTTCCTTTCTATGAGTTTTTATTTCAGCTGTGTATTACCCCTTTTATCCCTTTAAAAAAGTGTACTCATTTTAAATTCTTGACATGTTTTAGTAATTTAATTTTATGTAGTATGTGTTTCTCAGTTTTTCCTGTTTTGTATATTGGCTGCATTCTTCAGGTTACAGTCAATTTGGTCTATAGAGATCATGTTCCCTTGGATATATCAGCTGCCTTGTCTGGCAATATGCATTAGAGAAGGAGCTCATACCCAGGCCTCTGTTTGTGAATCCACAGATGAGTTCAAAGAGAGGAGATGGAGGGCAGAAAAGGATGGAGAGCCCTAGATACCACAGAAATCCTGGTGCTGACCATCCTCTGCTGCTACTCCACCAAACAACTCAGTGGTCAGAAATATTTCCTTAAGCACTGAGCAAAGCAGCATGGAAAAAAAAAAGACAAGCTCCTTAGACTGTAACACATTACAGCTGAGGGTTCAAAAGAAAAGTGGTGAGGAAATGAATGCCACCAGAGGTACACTCCTAACATTTGTAGGACCCAGGGCAGGAGTAAAATGAAGGCCCACAAATTATTTGTCTAAATATTTAAAAGTTATAAATAAAGTAAAAAAAAAACTGTTCAGTAAAATATATTCTATACCTCTACATTGACAAACACACCATCATAACATCCTGGAAAGCTAGGTTCAAATTCAGAATCCTTGGTCTCATTTTAGTTTCATGCCACAGTGTGGCAGTGGAGCAAACTGACCCCCAGGCTCTTCTCACTCTAGCCTAAAGAAGTCTCATGTATGTCCATAGACACTGCAACTTTGCATGCCCATGTTCTGACCACATTCTCCACCAACTGTCACCCCATGGACTAGGGGTGTACACACTGATGATGATGATGACCTAGTCTATCCTTGGAAAGATGGGACTGAGGAAGAGGCCTGTACAGAACCTATCAATGAGATCAGGGCCATATTAATACCTGGAATATGGTCCAGAGGGGATGCATGGAGTCTGGTAAGGACAAAGGGCAGGGGCCCCTCTTGCCTGGGAATACATGCAATATTGCTGAGGGTGGCTGATTTCCCAGCATCTGGTCTCTTCACTCCTCATCTTTTTAGAGCTTTGGTGCTACCCTAATGCTACTAAATTACCTTGGGAGGGCTGGGCTCTCACCTGTGGATTTCTACCTATCTGTGGTAATTGGGTAAGCCATCATTTCCCCAATGCACATGGGGGAAGGAAGAGCAAATCTGAAGACTTTCCCCATTACATACACCCAGTCTTCTGTCATTGTCCCCCCTCCCCCCTCCCTCCATACTATAAGTAAGCCTGACAACAGTTCATGATAGCCTTCCTTCCCTCAGGGGTTTCTTGCAGTTTCCATCTTAATTTCCCAGATCCCTGCTTACTTCTTTCTCTATAATTTCTCCAAGGTATTTTTCAGGGAAAAATCCTGTAGCCAGTGCTGGCTCACCACCTTTACAGAAATCAAAGGCTCATTTCTTTCTCGTCTTTTAGACTGTGAGCTACTTGAAAGCAGGGATGGTGAATTATTCATTTCTGCATCTCAACAAATACTATAAAAACTGGATCTCAATAAAAGTTTGTGGAATTGTCAAAGCAGACTAGAGAGCTGTAATAGTCAGGCTGGGGTCTGGGTGGACCATGAGCCCACTGTAATCAGTAGGGCTTCCTTTCATTGAAGTTTGAAGGAGTCAATGAGACCAGAAACATTAGACCAGTGATATAAATGTTCTTGTAGCCATGCAGCCAGTGTGGGATTCTTTATATGACTAAGAACTGCTAACATAAGCATAAATTTAATGATGATCTGGATCCTTAAGATGTTGATTCTGAGAGCTGCCCCAAAAGGAAACAGATTAGCAGAATATGTTGCATATGTTGATTGTAAAATTAGAGAACACTCTAATTAAATAGTGCAAAAAGGAATAAAGTTCAAAAAATGAGTGCATGAAAAAATTAGTGAAATCCCCATAAGTTCTGTTGATTGTAATGTGTCAATGTCAATTTTCTGGTTTTGACAATGTACTATAGTTACATAAGATGTTACTATCCAGGAAAACTGAGTGATGGGAACAGGAGACCTCTTTGTACTATCTTGGCAACTTTTTATAAGTCTATATTTATTCCAAAATGAGGCGAAAGAAAAAAAAAAAGAGTCAAGCCTTCATAGCTAAAACATGAACAAAAGATTTTCAGAATAGTGTAATCAGGGGGCAATATGCTTTAAATTTATGGGAAATATGAGGAAAGTTTACTTAATATTGTGGGTGGTACATCTGCAAAACTCTGTAGGAGTTGCTAAGGGCTGAATATACAAATAGGTATAAGAAAAGTGTAGAAAAATTCACAAGTAATTAATTCATAATTTATATGTAAAGAAAATGCTCTGTTGGCTATAACTCTCATAATTTCCTTAATGACATTCAAAGATAAAATATGCCACTGGGTGAAAATACTGGGATCTGGTGCCCAGCATGGCAATATTATCCAAAATGGAGAAATGGTATCAGGTGCCAAATGAACTGAAAAGACAGGAACCAGGGTTTGAATCCAGACTCGGACAGCTACTAAATTACTTCCTCTTTCCAAGCTTGGTTTCCTCACTGAAAGATGGGGGTAGTAGTGGTATTTACATTGTATGTTTCATGTGAAAATTAAATGAGAAAATGTACATAAACCAGAGCTTTCCACACTACTGTAGTAAAGAACCAGTTAAAAATAATTCTTTCAGTTGTCATGGATTAGTATTTTTGTAAAATACAGTAAAAATAAATTAATAGAAAAATTAAATGTAAAAAGACAGCTATAAACCGAGGATTCTAATTATTAGATCCAACAGATACAATACTACACTTTCAAATTGCTATAAAAGTTCTTGCCAGCGTTTTAAACATTTTTTGTCTTTTTGATAATAGTCATTTTAATGGGGTGAGATAATACGTTGTTTGTGGAAAAGTAATATCTCATTTGCAGAACTCTTATACATTGTTGATGGGAATGTAAATTAGTAGAACCACTATGAAAAACAGTATGGAGATTTCTCAAAAAACTAAAAATAAAACTACCATGCAGTCCAGCAATCCCACTCCTGGGCATTTATTCAAAGGAAAAGAAATCAGTATATCAAAGAGATACCTGCACCCTCATGTTTATTGCAGCAGCATTCACAATAGCCAATATATGGAATCAACCTAAATGTCCATCAACAAATAAATGGATAAAGAAAATGTGGTAGCCGGGCGTGGTGGCTCATGCCTGAAATTCCAGGACTTTGGGAGGCTGAGGTGGGTGGATCACCTCAGGTCAGGAGTTTGAAAGCAGCCTGGTCAACATGGTGAAACTCCATCTCTACTAAAAATACAAAAATTAGCCAGGTATGGTGGCACACACCTGTAGTCCCAACTACTCGGGAGGCTGAGGCAGGAGAATTGCTTGAATCCGGCAGAGGTTGCAGTTAGCTAAGACTGCACCACTGCACTCCAGCCTGGGCAACAGAGCAAGACTGGGTCTTAAAAAAGAAAAAAAAAAAAAGAAAATGTGGTATATACACACAATGGAATACTATTCAACCATAAAAAGAATGAAAACCTGTCATGTACAGCAACATGCATAGAACTGGAGGTCATTGTGTTTAGTGAAAGAAGCCAGACACAGAAAGACAAATATTGCATATTCTCATTCATATATGGAAGCTAAAAGAGTTAATCTCATGAAGGTAGAGAGTAGAATGATGGTCATCAGAGGCTAGGAAGGGTATGGAGGTCGGGAGGATGAAGAGAGGTTGGTTAATGGGTACAAACACAGACAGAAGGAATAAGTTCTAGTGTTAAATAGCACAGTAGAGTAACTGTACCTAACAATAATTTATTGTACATTTTAAAAGAGCTAGAAGAGATTTGAAATATTCCCAACACAATGAAATAATAAATGTTTGAGATGATGGATATCCTAAATACCTCGATTTGATCATTACACATTGTCTGCATGTATCAAAATATGACATATACCCCATAAATATGTACAATTATTATGTATCTATAAAAATTTAAAAATTGGTATACAAGTTCTTAAATGCATAGTTTCAAATTCTATTGCCATGGACTGGTAACAAATAGACCACACATTAGTGTGAAGCACTTAGAAAGAGCCTTCAGCTTGGAGCTTGGCTATAATAATAAAGACTAACAACAATCTCCTTGTAGATCACTTCATTTTTGTTTTCCTGTTGAAGTTCTTTTTTAAAACACTGATTTATTTTTCATTGACAGATATATCTTATGTATCTTGTATACTTATGGTGTACAACATGGTGTTTTGAAATACGTATACATTGTGGAATGACTAAACCAAGCTAACTGGCATATGTATTGCCTCAGATATTTATCTGTGGTAAGAAAACTGAAAATCTACTCTTAGCAATTTTCAAGTATGCACTCCATTTTTTATAATTATAGTCACCATGTTGTACAACAGATCTCTTGAACTTTATCTCCTAAGTGAAATTTTGTGTCCTTTGATCAACATCTCCTCCAGGCCTCTAGCCCTGGTAACCACCATGCTAATTTCTGCTTCTGTGAGTTTGACTCTTAGATTCTACATATAACTGAGGTCATGTAATATTTATCTTTCTGTGCCTGACTTTTTCACTTAGTATAATGGTAGACCATCTTGTTTTATTCGCATCTTTTTCTAGTTTCCTCTAAAAAGCAAAGCAAAATAGGGCCTCCCCTTTTTTTGAGTATCTGCTTGTTTCCTAGCAGGACCGCTACCCTTAGTTACTGAACTTTCTTTTTTAAGGGGGAATTCTCACTCTTAGAGGCAATTTTGAGGATAATAGGTCAGGGCTTTTCAGTGCCTGCAGTGGGGGCTTGAGGAAGTACTCTTCGAAAGTATCCTTCGAATGTAAAATGTTAGCTTTAAGAGCTGAGCTGGAGAATTCTGTGGACTGGAGCTCTATAAAAGACCAGTCTTGTAGGGAATTGGCATCTGGAAAATCCTCACCATGCATGTCCATGTTGAGAGGTAGCCTATATTAACAAGGCAGTGTGGCATGTGGCTAGACATGCCAAAGGTTAAGTCTGTGTCTTTGTCTTTGGATTTTAACATGTTTCTTCTTTTTTTGAGTGCTGAGGTTTGTTTTTGTATTTATTGGGGAGAGAAAAAAAATCATGCTTGTGGGAACTCTGTTGATTAGCTAATGGGCTTTTTTGTTTTTTTCTTCTATTTTGTTTTGTTTTTTGAGACAGAGTTTTGCTCTTGTTGCCCAGGCTGGAGTGCAAAGGTGTAATCTCTGCTCACTGCCCCCTCCACCTCCCAGGTTCAAGCGATTCTCCTGCCTCAGCCACCCAAGTAGCTGGGATCACAGGCATGCGCCACCACACCCAGCTAATTTTGTATTTTTAGTAGAGATGGTGTTTCACCATGTTGCCCAGGCTCATACTCCCGACCTCAGCTGATCTGCCTGCCTTGGCCTCCCAAATTGATGGGACCACAGACGTGAGCCACCGCACCCGGCTAATTAACTAATGGTTTTAAAAATTTCACTGAACAATGTTTACTGTTGAAAAATAAGAAATTATTAGGAATCCAACAAAAATAAAAAATTTTAGAATTTATGTACATTTTCAAAATGCAATTATTAAGATGGAAGGATTGAAAACAATTGACTTGGCTGCAATATGATGGGTGTATTCACAATGCTTTGTTTAGCCTCTTGTTTACTTTATCTATTGATAAAATATTAATAAATATTGAGTACAATACCATCAAAAATCTTTAAAATGCAATTTCTCTAAGCATGTGAAAACCTATTTACACTTTAGCCAATAAAAGATCTAGAGAAAAGGTTGCTTAGTTTGGGTTTTTGAAACTCTGTTTATCTGAAAATTGACATCTGGAGAATAGCATTTACTCATCTGAAACTACCTTAGCACCTTGCCAAATTGCAATTTCTTAATTAACTACAAAAGATGCTGTAGTTTTTCTAAATTATGGAAAGTTACAGGTTTGTTTTCTGGGTACTATTTGTATTTTATAATAGTATAGTTGAAAAATTATTTGAAATTGCATTAACACCGTCATAAATCACACACCTCTTTCATTTCTATTTTCAATTCATACTGATTTGTGATTATGAGCTTGTTTATTATAACCATGGTTTATTATAACCATGAATCAAAACCATTTTCCATGTGAAGATACTTTAAACTGAGACATTTTAATATTTTGTCTGAAAACTAAATTTTTCTTGTTAACCTTTGAAATTAGGTTACTTTTAAATAATTTTAGCAGAAGAGTTTCTTTAGTATGATTCATCATTGAACTATACAGATAATCCAAAGTTACTGTATTACATACTTTGCAAATGCCTTGCATAGTAATTAAAGGCTTAGGGCCGAACATTTTTAAAGTGGGCTTATTCTATAAAGATGAAATTTGCTTAAAATGAAGTAAAAGTTTTTGACAAGATGACATATAAGAAGAGACAGAAAGATAAAACTAAAAGATGATATTCATGTAATACAAAAATCAGTTTATATTTTAAAATCACATTTGAGATGAAAAAGAAATACATAATAAAAGATTGACTTTTATTTTGGGGGGAGAAGTGAAACAGTCATTTGAAATCATAAACGTCTTTTTGACTCAGAAAACACATAATTTAGGAACGACTTAGTAGTGAAAAAGGAGCCCCTTATGTGTTTAGCTTGCCCCTAGGTGGTGATAAAAGCCTTGCAAAATAGAAAAGACAAGCCAAAGGCAACAACAACAACAACAAAACAACAACAACAAAACAAATATAGGCAGGATACAAAGTTCTTTTCTGAGATTCTGGTTTTGATTCTTAAGTATAACTTGACTCTAGTTATGTGTTTCTTTTTGTACTTTTGCTCATATCAACAAGTGTAATGCTTTTTAAGAGTCTTGTATCTGGTTGTTTTCCTCATTCCTTCTTCCTCCCCTCCCTTTCCTCACCCAATCAGGCACAAATACAGCTTGGGACACTTCTTTTCTCAACTATCATCTTTGACTCACCAGGCTGAAGTTTTGATAGAGACCTACAATAATCATAATGATGATGAAATAACGAGGGTTATTCAGTCAGGCTACGTTAAAGTTTGTTTACTGTGAACTTATATTGCATATTCAATTCTTTGCTTACAGGAATAAAAAGTAACCTGCTAAATAACTACCTATCTTGATTATCACATAACAAATTAATGCTAATGTTTCATATGCACTTATTTAATGTGAGGACATATCATTTGGCAAGAAATTATCTGAACTGAAGAAACTTATGTCCAGTATATATTCCCAAAAATTGAATACAATTTTCTTTTTAACAAACAAATGTTTCTAAGGGAAAAGCACAGTATGTTTTTTTATTTTTAACTTCGGATGCATTTCCATTTTGTATTTTTGATACAGCATTTTCATTGAGGTTTTCCTGTGTTGGTGATAAGCCTGATATGTACATTGTGAGACTAACAAAATTATAGGTGCTTAACTACTTCCCCATATGTTTAATATTCACTCTGGGTAAAGAGGCATACTGCAAGTCCTATTCAACCAGAAGGAAAAAACATCAACACTATTAACAAATATTCTATAAACATTCTAAAATTAAGAATACTTATTTGATACCTATTTTAAAAAGAAAACACAGACAGCAAAAGGTTGAATTGATATTTGGTGTTCTGATACTGTAGTAATTATTGTTTAATCTAGAATGAAGGTAATACTAAAAGAGTAAAGAAGTCATAGCTCATGATCTTCACATTATCTGCTTAAATCAAAAGCAGAAACAGATCTGTAATACACAGGCTGTATACTGTACAACTCCAAGGAGCAGCATTTCTACAGAATACAATGTAAATGGAACTCTGGATTTGGAAAAGATGGTTCCCTGAGCTGGAGGCCTTGAGAGAATGACCAGTAAGATGTTTGTTTTCCAGAAAAGGTTGTAGAACTGTTTTCTATTGAACATGAATGTAAACTTGTTCTTATTACATAGAGCAGTACAATTTCTTGAGATTAGGAGTTCTATACAACAAGGAGATGAAATTGATCATTACCTCCACTACCTCCACAAACATTAATTGAGCATGTAGTGTGTGCCTGACAAGATGTTAACTAATTTAAATTTTAAATTTAACCCACACAATAATCTTAAAGTAGAGGTCTAGGAAGATAACTAGCTTGCTGAAGGTAATACAGCTGGTAATGTTCTGCTCAAGCTCAGAAATTGGAACTAACCCAGTTTTCTCTGTTATGAAGCAGGTGCTTGTATATGCTATGCTGTGATACTATGATGGCACATTAAACAATTCCCCCTGGCCCATATTGAAGTTTGTACAATGGACTTCTTGGCCAATAAGTACTTGTACTGTTACTGTGTCTGAAATTTGAGTACTTTTATGTGAGAATGTTATGAGGAAGATCAAACCATAGAAATCTGACAAATACAAAAATACAAAATACAAACACAAAAAGTCTTGTTCCTAGATGCCAGAGTAAGATTTTTGCAACTTCCTAGTAGTATAATTTTGAGTACTATTACTCCCTTACTCCCTTCTTCCATTTATTCAGTCTTCTTCTTCTCCTTTTTTTTTTTTTTTTTTTTTTGGAGTCTCGCTCTGTCACCCAGGCTGGAGTGCAGTGGCACAGTCTTGGCTCACTGCAAGTTCCGCCTCCCGGGTTCATGCCATTCTCCTGCCTCAGCCTCCCGAGTAGCTGGGACTACAGGCGCCTGCCACCACGCCCAGCTAATTTTTTGTATTTTTGGTTTCACCATGTTGGCCAGATGGTCTCGATCTCCTGACCTCATGATCCGCCTGCCTCGGCCTCCCAAAGTGCCGGGATTACAGGCGTGATTATTCACTCTTCTTAAATGCAAGCTATAGAAAAAGACTCTGTCAGACTTAAGTAGAACAGGTATTTATTGAAAGGTTATTGGATCTTATGAAATTGGCATTAAAGGTGGAGAATCAGGCTCAGAGACTGCTCAGAAGAGAGATATTATACAATCAGAACCAAGCCAAAATCAGGTCCTAGAAACAATCAAGGGCAGAACCCACAGCTAATAATAATTTTTATCAAGTGACATTTAGATGGTAATGCCCAGGGAGGAACTAGGAGGAGGCATGTGCAGCACTAGCCTTGTGCACATAACTTAAGAGGACTTCAAAAAACTAGTAATCAAGACAAATAATATTTTGATAAATATGTTAAAAATCAAAATCAATGCAAAAACCCATTATGAGCAAAATATCAAAATTTTAAATAAAGATGGGGTTATGATAAAAGATAAAAAACAGTATGAGGCACAGAGCTGAGGTGTGTGTGTGTGTGTGTGTGTGTGTGTGTGTGTGTGTGTGTGTATTAGCAAGTTCATTTCAAGTTAGGATGAGTTTGATGCATGTACAGGACTCCAAAAACTGGAAATACTTAATGACAGCTTGAAATGCTATTCTGGTGGTCATTATTTAAAAGCTGAAAAATAATAGAGGCTGGCGTGGGTATGGTGAAAGGGAATGCTTACACACTGCTAGTGGGAATTAAATTAGCACAACCTCTATGGAAAACAGTATGGAGATTTCTCAAAGAACTAAAAGTAGATCTATCATTTGATCTAGCAATCCTACTATTGGGTGTCTACCCAAAGGAAAAGGAGTCATTATATCAAAAAGACACCTGCATGCATATGTTTATCACAGCACAATTTACAATTGGAAAGATATGGAACCAAACTAAATGCTGATCAGCCAATGAGTGGATAAAGAAAATGTGCTATATATACACCATGGAATACTACTCAGCCATTAAAAAGAATGAAATAATGTCTTTTGTAGCAACTTGGATGGAGCTGGAGGCCCTTATTCTAAGCAAAATAACTCAGGAATGGACAAACCAAAGACTGTGTGTTCTAACTTGTAAGTGGGAACCAAGTTATGCATATGTAATGACATACAGAATAGTATAAAGCGGTGGTCCCCTACCTTTTTGGCACCAGGGACTGGTTTTGTGGAAGACAATTTTTCCACAGACTGAGGTGGGAGGGATGGTTTCAGGATGGTTCAAGAGCATTACATTTATTATGCACTTTATTTCTATTATTATTACATTGTAATATATAATGAAATAATTATACAACTCACCATAATGTAGAATCAGTGAGATCATTGAGCAGGTTTTCCTGCAACTAGACGGTCCCCACATAGGGGTGATGGGAGACAGTGACAGGTCATCAGGATTAGGTTCTCATAAGGGGAGTGCAACCTAGATCCCTCACATGCACAGTTCACAATAGGGTTTGTGCTCTTATGAGAATCTAATGCCCCCACTGATCTGACAGGAGGTGGAGCTCAGGTGGTAATGCTTACTTGCCTGCCACTCACCTTATGCCATGCAGTCCGGTTCCTGGCAGGCCACAGACTGGTACCTCCATAACCTAGGGATTGGAGACCCCCAGTATAAAGAATATTGGAGAAAAAGGAGGAGGGTGGTGGGGGAATGAGGGATAAAAAACTACATATTGGGTACAATGTACACTCCTCAGGTGACAGGTGCACTACAATCCCAGACTTCACCACTGTACAATTCATCCATGTAGCCAAAAACCACTTATATCCTAAAAGCTATTGAAATAATCATAGAAAACGAAATGCCATTCTGGAACTCAAGGTAGGCTAGAGCTAAATATATAAATTTAAGGGTCTTTGTTAAGTAGGAGTTGGGTGACAAAATAGGAAAGGAATAGACCTTCTACAAAATAGCCAGAGAAAAGAATGGAGGACTGAGACCTAAAGGAAGGCCACGTTTAATGGGAGGTAAAGGAAGAGGCACCCATGGGAGAGTCGGAAAAGTTAGGGAGGCAGTGGGATAACCACCAAGGTCCTCTGAGAGCCCGCAAGAGGAGACACTCGCAAGATTAAGAGGGGTGGAAGTAATGAAGAGCATCAGGCAAGTTGTAGAGAAGCTAAGCAGTCATAAAGCTGTCCTTTATAAGCCCTGGACACATCCCATGCACTGCACAACTTACTTAACATACATATGTATGTTAAGCCCATCAGGCAGGTATTATCCTTGTTTCCTATATGAAGAAATTGAGATATGGAGATTTTGAGAGATAAATAACTTGCTCAAAGTCACACAGTAGTAAGTGACAAAGGGATGTGGAATTCAGGTCTGTCTGAATACAAAACTCATATGGTCTGGTATGTCTTGCCAGACCCATAGTTTTCATCTCTGCTTGAAAGCAGCTTTTCTGGCTTGTCAGAAAATGCAGGTTCTGAGGCCCCAGCCCTGAAAACTCTGATTCTACGAGTCTTAATAAATGTCTTTGAGACTGTGGTGAAGTCACAGTTTCTCTTCAGTTCAACTACTTTATCTGTAAAATAAGAAGTTTAGACCAGATGATAACTAAATTCAATGATTTGTGACTAATGTCCTCAAGAAAAGCAGATAGACGGTCATCTAATGAAGTGTACATGCATTTTTTATTGAAAAAGGGGCTTTATATTTTCAGTAACAGAAATTTCATATTCTTTTGTGGTATAGAAACTCTTTATGTCGATAGTCAGAAAGGTAGTATTGCAATGAAATGACTGTGCATATTATTCTCAAGCCCTGGGAATCTGCAAAACAAAACTTCTAGCAAAGCAAATCATCTTAAGTACTTGAGTGTAAGATAATGCACAATACATCCCATCTCCTTTATTATTTAATCATTTGAGTTATCATTTGCTGCAAATCACCATTTTGCTCATAAAGGAGAGTATCTGCTTTATTAAAGAAGTAAATAGGAGCAAAAAAAATCATCAATGGCCTTGAAATGATTTTTAAAAACTCTCCATTAAATGAAGTTATTTAATGTAGCATGTGGTTTTAATTATCTTAGCATAGTTCAAAAAGTAGCCCATATGTAAGTCACTCTAATAATGTGCTACTAGTTTTATTTGGCACTGAACACAATGACCTGCACTGAGTGGATGCTCGATATTATTGAATGCTTGCTCGATGACATTTATAAAGCAGAAAAAATTCAAAATAATCTGGCTATTATTTATAAGCTATTTACAGGATGCTGAGGAAACTTGATTTCTGAAAATTATGAAACTACAATTAGGGACAAAATACACACTTATATACAGAATCATAATGATATTTTACAACTTCTGGAATAAATACAATAGACTTTAAATGATTTGTATTTTATCAATGAATACTATAGATTCCTATAACGCAACAAATTTAAAAAGACAGCTATGTATTGTGGTATAAAATTAGAGATAACTTATACCAATATTGCTCATGCATACCAACAAAAATCTTAACAATAGAATTACATATACAAGCTACACATATTGCCTTTTCTGATGAAATTTATCATTAGCTTTGGGATTGTTTTATTAAACCATAACACTTGTGGTCTCTACGTGTCTTTTATGGAAGGTACTCAAAACACTTTGCAAACATTGAATATCATTTTGGATGTCAGTGACAAATGACACATTAGTAATTAATTCCTATGGCAATACCCACCAGGCCACTTTCAATCATGAGACCTTATAAGATTTCTTGTAGGCTCCTTATTTTACAGTGGAATAAAAATCACTTGCCTTGTTCCACAATTTCCTCCGAAGACTAATGTCTGCAAGAAAAATTATCAAAGAGTAGCTACTGAAAAATCCTCATCTGAAATGCATTTTCATTCATTTTTGTTATCCAGAGTTGAGTCTAAGTATTAATTATTGGCACAAATCTTAAAATAACAGCACACTAATTATAAGAACTACCATTTTGTGAGAGCTTATTACTGTTAGGCACTTTATGTGTATCTCATTTAATTCATACATAACAAAACCACTTCAAGCAGGTTTTGTTAATCCCCTTTTACAGAGAGTCAGAGGCTCTGCCCCAACTTTTGGAGTTATTAAGTGGTAGAGCCAGAGTTTGAACCCAGATCTTTCTGACTCAAAGTCTGGACTGTTAATCACTAAGACCAATGCATCTATAACTTCATGGAAATTAGTAGGACTGACTCCTATGATTCTGGAGCAATGAGAAACCCAGCTAGTTCTGCTGGCTGCCCTGAAGTATCAAACCATGCTCTAAGTAGTCTGCATTGTCTTAAATTTACCCAAGGGTCATAAGATATTCTTCATATAAATTATGTTAAAACTTGAAAAATTCCAATCTATAAATTATTTAATTCAACCAATGCAAATACAGACCATTTCCAGAAATGATGTTTCTGGAAAAGTTGTATCTTATAAATAATGACTGAAAAGTTCTGGCAGAGGTTTTGGAAGAAATAAGGTACTCTTTGAGTTATGACCTTTTAGCATTTTAAAGATAGCACTCCATTGTCTTCCACCTTGCATAATTTCTGATGAGAAATATCCTGTAATTCTTGTTTTGTTGTTCTTCAGTATATAACATTAACTCTCTCTCTGATGGCTTTTAAGATTTTCCCTTATCTTTGGTTTTCAGTAGTTTAGTATGACATATATACGGGTTTTGTAACATATATAGATTTTTTTTACAATTATTCTTCTTGTTTCTGAGAAATCATGTGATCAGTGGTTTGAAGTGTTTTATTAATTTTGGAAAATTCTTAGCTATTATCTCTTAAAATATTTTTCTGCCCCATTCTTTTCCTTTTTTGTCTTCCACTTGTATGGTAGCTTCCACCTTTCTCCTGTGGGCTGCTACAAGTGAGGCAGGACTATTGCACCATGTCTCCCTGGAGACACTTACTTACATGGTACTTACTTACCTTTCCTTAGATTTCAGACTAACTGATTACCCTGCAACTTCTGGTGTCTGACAGAATTAAGAAAAATGATAATTTTTTAGATTATATGGCTTTTTTTGTTGTTGTTAGGGTAGGAGGGAAACTTTCCCATTTTTTTAGGTTAAAGCCGGAAGTTTCTTTGAGTTATTTTGAAAAATTGATGGCAATTAAGATATTTCTCTTAAAGATGGCCTGGAGTCCACTATAGAAATTTTATCAAAACTTTTGGTTAGCTTTTGTGGAGAAAAAGGTTCAGTTGATGTGTTATTCTGGCATATATTATAGCTTTTGACAGGTGTTTCTTCAGCATCATTTTCAATTATACGTCACCAAACCTAAGAGTAAGTAGTCATTTTTTTTTCTAAATAAAATCCTAGATAGCCTGCATTTGGGGTTGTCATATAAACATGATGACTACCTTCTACAATAACTATATAATTTCTCCATAAAATGTATTCAATATAGAAAGTTAACAAAGGTGACAGCTTATGAACAGTTTGAATTCCACTGGCAATAGTTTATTCCTTAATACCTCCTATCAAAGGAAGAGCCCACCACTCAAATATATCTGGAAGAAAGCTGAATTTGTTATAATTTATCATTAGTTGCTATGCAAAAGGGAGCTGTATTTATGAAACACAATGTCTCTGAACAAAGCAAAGAGTAATCTTTTAGGAGGTTTAGAGGAATTATGGAGTGTAGGGATTTGCTGACATTCAGGAGCACTGGAAAAAAACCTGTTTGACAGATTTGGGTGGGCTTAAAACTGTTCTGTGGTTATGTGTTTTTGACTTGGAATAGATGCAAAAAACAGTATGCTTCCTTTATCGAAGCTGGAAAATAAAAACTTTTTATTCTCATCTTATACTCTATTGAAGATAAAAGTAGTTTAAGTTCATACATAGCTAATTATTTGATCACATTTGCTCAGCTGAGAAGGAGAGTTCTGAGAGATGAATGTTGTACAATAAATTTGGGAGACGGTAAAGTACATTAGTGTATCATCAGGGTTCTTGGTTGCAAGCAATGAAAACAACTTTATTTTAGGAGAAAAAGAGAGGGAACTGATTGGAAAGATTTTGAATACAACAGAATCAAAGGGAATTTAGAGGACTACATGTACAAGATGGCCAGAGATCAAGACAGTTTCAGAGGTGCCAAGATGCAGTATTTGGGAAGCACAGACAATCTGTCCAGGATGAAACTGCTTCCACAGGCCACTGCCACTGCTGCTATAGAGAAGCCATTCATTCATTTATTCTTTCTTTTTCTGAGATGGAGTCTTGCTCTGTCATCCAGGCTGGAGTGCAGTGGTGAGATCTCGGCTTACTGCAACCTCTGCCTCCCAGGTTCAAGCGATTCTCCTGCCTCAGCCTCCTGAGTAGCTGGGATTCCAGGCATGCACCACCATGCCCAGCTAATTGTATATTTAGCAGAGATGGGGTTTCACCATGTTGGCCAGGCTGGTCTCAAACTCCTGACCTCAGGTGATCTGCCCACTTCAGCTTCCCAAAGTGCTAGGATTATAGGCATGAGCCATTGCACCCAGTCTCATTCATTTTTTCATATAAACGTTTGAAATGTTTATTGAGAATCTACTACATGCCAGATTCTGTTCTACGTGCTAGAAATACAGCTATCACTACCCTCTTGAAATTTACATTCTGAGGAGAGAGACATACAATAAATAAACAGGTAAATATATATCAGATAATAATGAAAGCTCTGAAATGTGTTTTATCCCCAATGTAAAGGAATTGTGTGTCAAGTGTTGGAGACCTTGGGTTACAACTTGATGTAAGATATCTAGGGTGGCTCGTACAGATTAGGTGAGATTTTTTAAAAATCAGATACCTGAAGAAAAACAAGTAGAAAGCCATTTGGATATGTGGAGGAAGAGTATTTCAGATTGAGAAAAGAGCAAATGCAAAGGCCCTGAGGCACAAACGTGTTCAGGGAAACACAAGGTGGCCAGTGTGGTTGAAACAGAATTAGGGAGGGAAAGAGTGGGAGCAGATGAGGTCAGAGACCAACAAAGGTGGGGAGGGGTTAAATCATATAGAATTTTGAAATCCATTATAAAGACCTTGGCATTTATTTTGAATGAAATAGGAAGATACTGTAAGGTTTTGAGCAGAGGAATAATGTGATATCACTTACATTTTAATAACACTGCTTTGGCTACAGTGTTGAGATAAGAAATGTGTATGAGGTGGAGGTCAAGCCAGGGCTCAGTTAGGAGCATATGGAGGCTGTTGAGTAATCCCAGTGAGTTGTGATGGGGCCTGAATCAGGAAGAAGCTGTGGAGTGGTGAGATGCGACTAGTCCCCAGATATATTTTGAAGGTACCTCTGAAAGAATTTGCTGATGAATTAAATGTAAAAGAAAGAGAGGAGTCAGGGAATGCAAAGATAATTTCAAGGCTTCTTCTTTTTTCCTTTTATTCCCAAATCACTATCTGCAAGTACCAAGTCTTTTGGCCTGAGCACCTGGAAGGCTGGAGCTGTATTTACTATATTTACTGAGATGGGAAAGACTGCTGGAGGAGGAGGCTTAGGGGTAGAAATTAGGAGTTTGGATTTAGACATATTAACTTTTAGACATTTGCTATAGTCTGAATGTGTCCTCCAAAATTCATATATTGAAACTTAATCACCAATGTAATAGTATTAAAAGGTGGAACATTTAGGAGGTTATTAAGTCACAAGGGCAGAGCCCTCAGGGATGGGATTGGGGTCCTTATGAAAGGTCTTGAGGCAGTGGGTTTGTTTTCTTCTGCTTTTTGTTCTTCTGCCATTTGAAGATACCTAGATGAAGCCATCTATGATGAACCAGAAGTCAAACTTGCTGGTTCCTTGATCTTGAACATCCCAGCCTCCAGAACTGTAAGAGAATAAATTTCTGTTCTTTATAAATTACCCAGTCTCAGGTATTTTGCTAGAGCAGCACCAATGCATCAAAACAACATTCATGTGAAGATGTCAAGCAGGTAGATGTTTATATAGCCAGTAAAATAGATGGAACAATGAGAAAGTGATTTTCTAGAAGGTAAATGAATAACTTATTATAAGGATGAGGATTAATCAATTTTGTTGAGATAATAAATGAAACCTGAGAACTCACCATGAGAATAGTATGCAGCCAATGTCCCTTTGTTTTGGCTCATTTTCTCAAGATTCAAAGTCCCACCTCCCATCATGTTCCAAGATTCTGGTAGTCCTGTGTGTGGAGGAGTAAGTTTTTGTATCACAAATTGGAGAATGATACCCCACTGAGACTTTGTAGTTGTAACAATGAGGAACTCTCCAAAACTAGAAACAGGAGTTGGATACTCTGTAGACAAACACTAACACATGTCTACTGCAGTCATCAATTATAATGTTCTTTCAGTGTGTCATGGTCCTAAAAGCATATACTATGTGTGGTCAAAATGTTTCCCATCCCTGTAGGCACACTTCTTTTTCAGGGTGACTTTGCATCTATTCCCATCAAGAGTTGGTATTTATGTCCCTACTCCTTGAATCTGAGCATATAAGATTATTTTATCAGGTGGGTCATTTAATAAATACATCACAAGGAGTGGCTTGGAAAGTGCCTGTCTTTTGGGACCTGCATTGTTGCTGTATTTGGAACACTGTAATCACAGCTATATAAAGAAGCTCAAGCTAACCTGTTGGAGGATAAGAGACATGTAGTACAGTCAATCAGCACTTTACTTCACTAACATAGCCAAATGAAAGACATGGGGTGAGACCATCCTACATTATCCAATTCCCAATTGATTTTTTTTTTTTTTTTTTTTTTTTTTTGAGACGGAGTCTCACTCTGTCGCCCAGGCTGGAGTGCAGTGGCGCGATCTCGGCTCACTGCAAGCTCCGCCTCCCGGGTTCATGCCATTCTCCTGCCTCAGCCTCCCGAGTAGCTGGGACTACAGGCGCCCGCCACCACGCCCGGCTAATTTTTTGTATTTTTAGTAGAGACGGGGTTTCACCGTGTTAGCCAGGATGGTCTCGATCTCCTGACCTCGTGATCCGCCTGCCTCGGCCTCCCAAAGTGCTGGGATTACAGGCGTGAGCCACCGCGCCCGGCCTTCCCAATTGATTTACCAGCTAGCTCAGTAGAGAAATCAGTGAAATTGGCCCAGCTAACTCACAAAATTGTGAATGAAATAAAGCAGTTTTTTTTTAAGCCACTAAGTTTTGGAGTGGTTTGTTATACAGCAAAAGCTAACTAACGATGTATGATTCAATGAAATCCCAACCATAATCCCATCACAGCAAGTTATTTTATGGATATAAAAAAACTGATTCTAAAGTTCATATGGAAAAGCAAAAGACTCAGGATGGCCAGCACAATATCGAAGAAGAACAAATTGAAGGATTATACTACTCAACATCAAGACTTACTATAAGCTACGGTAATTGACAGTGTGGTTTTGGAGATAGAATAGAAAACGGATCAATGGAGCAAGTTAGAGAGGCCAGAAATAGACACATATAAATATAGTCAAATGATCTTTGACAAAGGAGCAAAAGTAATATAATGTAGAAAAGATACTCTTTTCAATAAATGGTGCTGGAACAACTGTACATCCACATGCAAAAAAGTGAATCTAGACACAGAACTTATACCCTTCACAAATATTAACTCAAAGGATCACAGTCCTAATTGTAAAATACAAAACTATAAAACTGCTAGAAGATAATATAGGAGTAAACCTAGTCGACCTTGGGTTTGGTGTTGACTTTTTATGTACAACAACAAAGACGTGATCCATGAAAGAAATAACTGATAAGCTGGACTTCATTAAAATTAAAAACTTCTGCTCTGTGAAAGACAATGACAAGAGAATGAGAAGACAATCTACAGAGTAGGCAAAAATATTTGCTAAAGACATAACTGATAAAGAACTGTTATCCAAACTATACAAACAATTCCTAAAACATAAGACAACAAAAAACCTGATTAAAAATGGGCAAAAGACCTGAATAGACACTTCACAAAAGAAGATTTACAGATAGCAAATAAGCATATGAAAAGATGCTCAACATCATATGTCTTATGGAAGCAACAATGAGATACTGCTACAAACCTGTTAAAATGGCCCAAATCCAGAATGCTGATAACACCAAATGCTGACGAGGATGTGGAGCAACAGGGACTCTCATTCATTGCTCATGAGAATGCAAAATGGCACTGGCAGTTTAGAAGACAGTTTGGTAGTATCTTACAAAATTAAATATACTCGTATCACATGATCCAGCAATCATGCTTGTTGGTATTTACCTAAATAAATTGAAAACTTGTGTTTATGCAAAAACCTGTACATGTTGTTCATAGAAGATTCACTCGTAAATACCAAAACTTAGAAGCAATCAACATGTCCTTCAGGAGGTGAATGGATAAATAAACTGTAGTACACCAGACATCAGAATGTTAATCAACAATAAAAAGAAATGAACTATCAAGCCATGAAAGATATGGAGGAGTCTTAAATGCCTATTACTAAGCAAAAGAAGCAAATCTGAAAAGGCTGTATACTGTATGATTCCAAATATATGACATTTTGGAAAAGAGACAGGAAGGCCAGTGGTTGCTAGGTGTTGGGGCGAGGGAGGGTTGAATAGGCAGATCACAGAGAATTTTTAGGGTAGTGAAACTACTCTGTGTGATACTATAATAGTGGATCCATGCCATTATGCTTTTATCCAAATCCCTATAATGTACAACACTGAGAGTTATACTTACTTATATAAGTAAGTACATATAAACTATAAGTATATATAAACTATATATAAGTAAGTATATATAAACTATTGGCTTTAGGTGATAATGTGTCAATGTAGGTTCATCAATTATAACAAATGTCCCACTCAGGTGTGGGATGTTGATAGTGGGGGAGGCTGCGTGTATATGTGTGGGGGCTGGTGGTATATGGGAACTCTCTGTACTTTCCACTCAATTTTGCTGTAAACCCATAACTGCTCTAAAAAATAAAGTTTATGTAAAAGAAAAAAAGCAGGTCAGGCATGGTGGCTCTCACCCATAATCCCAGCACTTTGGGAGGCCAAGGCAGGAGAATTGCTTGAGTCCAGGAGTATGAGAATAGTCTGAGAAATATAACGAAACTGTCTCTATCAAAAATAAGAAAGTTTACCAGGCGTGGTGGTGTGTGCCTGTAGTCCCAGCTACTTGGGTGGCTTAGGTGGGAGGATCACTTGAGCCTCGGAGGTGGAGGCTACAGTGAGCCTTGATTGTGCCACTGCACTTCAGCCTGGACAACAGAGTGAGACCCTATCTCAAAGAAAAACAAACAAACAAACAAAAAACAAAAAGCTGATACCTGCTTTTACTTAAAAATAATTGCCAAAGTATCTGTGTGTAAGGATCATCAAGTCCTAAATTTAGAAGTGGTTGTATAGATTATTAACATGAGCAAGATATTCTTTTTCAACTTGAGTGAAGAATCTGTACAGATTTTGGTTCAGAAAATTGTGAAAAAGCATGTTAGTTTATTTATCTACAAATATATTTTGTGCCTGATACTGAATAGGAAGACCCCATACTGGTGACTGAGGAGAAGATGATTCGTTTTCAAGGGAAAAAGAAAAAATGAAAGATAAAAATGCAAAGCCTTGGGATAGCCAAATATTAATATATTCACTTTGGGTTTTTACCTATTAGCAGTGCTGAGCAAGCCATTAAGCCGAGGTTCCGGGGCCAGAAGATCCAGTTCACTTCTTTCCTCTCTTTACTGTCCGTGGAACACATTTCCAAAATACACATTACTTCATATGCTCCTAGAAGAGACGGAAGCTTCTGGGACAATTTCATTCTGAGCAATTAACCTACAGGCTTCTCTGAATGAATGAACACATTGATTATCATATTATAAACTCATCAATTTTTTGAAAACCAATTCAAAACTAATTCAAAGTAATTTTCTAATGAAAAATATGATTTTTAAATGGTTTGTTAAACGAATTAAACAATTTATTTGAGGGAATTCTGTTTTGCAGGTTAGGAAAAGTAGTATTCTCCTATTTGGAACAAGATTGCTTCCACAAATTCTGAAGTTCTCATTCTCAAAGAATTATAAGATCAGAGGGTACCGGCCTGCTAACTAACCCAAATAACGTGCCATCGCTCCCCTCGGAAAATCAAAGTATTAATGCCTTTGCTGGTGAGAACTTTGATAGAGGAAAGACACAGTAGCTCATGATGCCAGTCTCAAAATAATGTTGAAAGTGAAATTTGCTTCAAATTCTTGAAATTAAAGGCAGTCAGTATTTTAAATCATGATATAATTTGTGACAAATCTATTGGTTTGTATGACTTTACCAAAATAATATTATACTGTTATCATATGTATATAATATATGTATATGTTATATGTGTACTTTACACAATATATAATATGTTATGCAAATATACTCTCTATTCCAAATTTTTCTGTTATCCATTTATTGTGAAAATTATCTTCTATATGCTAAATATGGACTCTTATCTAGGCAAACTACTTCAGACTTATCGTAAGATGATTTCAATTTGCTTTTTTTAATATAAAAAAAAGAAAAACCAAAAACAAAAAAAACTGTGTGTAAGGTTCCAGCAACAGAGGCAGTTTAGCATCTCAGAGGTATTTGGGCTAATATTCTGCCTAATGCAATCTTCCTGTTATCAGCCCATCATCAGCTCATCATCCCTTCAATAATGTAATATAAGCGACTAAACCCCTAGAGCTGATTGTATCACAAAGGGATTACCCCAGTCCCATTCTGGGAATTAAACCTGCAGACAAAGGCCAGACAGCTGGGCAGCTGCATCAATTTGACATCGGTTATTTGCTGTGTACATTAATACAATCTGCTGCCACAGTACAGAATTGTCAACATTCTAGTTGTGTTCTCAAGACCCTGTTTTGAAAATACGAACATCCTTGAGTGAACTTTAAGTACTCAATAATACAGCCAAATTCACAGCAACTGAGGATATAGAAGGAAAACTTAATGAAACTGAAGGGGCTCTGGATTCTGCAAGACGTGTCTGTGAGTCTGAAAATTGCAGGCACTGAATTGAATCTTGGCAAAGAACTGAAAGTGTGGTCCATAATCATTCAACAATGACATCTTTTTCCTTACTCAGCTTCTTAAGAACTTTTTTCTTCCTGTTAATTACCTTACTATTTGGAAAACTTGATTCCATTTGAAATTAGAATCGCAGTAAACGATGCCACATTTTTACTTCTTTTCCTGATTGTCTTATAACCATTTGAGCACGAATTCCTGTATTAAAAGGTTTCTGCTTTGGAAGCATAATATCCAAGGGGAAGATTTTCAGATGTAATCCAACCTTATTAGATTATCAGAATTTACTAGTTGTAAGTAACTTACATATTTGCATGGAAATATTAGGGCAGAGTCTTAAGACATTTTTGTTATTGTCCAATATGAGAATCTGAACTTCTGAAAGGCTGTCAATTCCGTGCCTTTCAAAGATGCTGCATATATACCCTTTTAATCATTTTGCAGTCTTAGTGCTTCCTGTGTGACTCCCTTATCAAATGGGATTATGTATTAAAAGAGACTACATTTGAAACAGCTTTCTCAAGTAACACAATTTGCTGGTGCCTATGATGTGCCTGGTAGCTAAACACGAATCTTATTTCAATTGAACTCTATTTGGACTCTGGAATCAGGATGTTACCCAGTTTGACTTTAACACAATCAGTCAAATTAGCCTAGTCCTAGAGGCCAGGACCTGATAGATATTGGGTGAAAGCTAAACTAAATCATCTTAAGAGTTACAATAATAATGTAAACAGAAAATTATACTTACATTTTAGTCTAGAATTTAGAAAGTCTAGAATAAATGTAGCTTTAGGTATAAGTTAGGCAATGCATATTCTTTGTATCATTGATAGCAAGGAGATAAATATTAAAAAATATACAAGGCCCATAAAACATTTCCTGGAGATGAAAGTTTTTTGAAAGCTAAGTACCCTGAAGTCTAATTTAAGCCCCATTTCCAAAGAGGGGTGCTAAATATTTCATTCAAAATTTGTTAGAATTTTATCAGCACAGGTGACAAATGTAAAAATGAATTTTTCTCCTTATACTGGTTGAATATACTAAATTTTGTTTGTAATTATGATTTAAAAAACATCCTTGAAAAGAATCACAAACATGCACCTCGGTGACAGCTACCTCATACCAGTAATATCAGGTGCAATTTGTCCTTTATTTCCCAGAATTCCTCTGGTTTGTAAGGGATGGTCCTCAATTAGTTGTGCTATGTTTCCTCTTGCTTGGTAAGCATTTTTGGTCAAACAAGGAATGGCAGAGTTCCACAATTAGATCAAAAGATCAATCCTAATGTACCATTTTCTCCTCACCCTCCTGCTGTAATAAAGTGGCTGCAGTTCTCCAGGGGACAACTCAAAATCCTAGGACTGATATTTCTAAATTAGCTGACTCTCTGACCTTGCTGGTAATTGCGTTAGTTTATCAATGTTCGACACAATTTATTACTCTCCAATATGTACCAAAGTGTTTATCTCTCAACACTAACAATATTAAAAAATCTAAACTATCTATTGCCACACAAAGAAGCACGCTTTCATTAGGGAAAAACATAAATAAGTGGGAAACGTCACACGACCTGCCTCAGCACAGGAGAGTTGCGAGTCTTGAAAGGATGGGGGCAGCTGCCTCTTTCTCTGATTTAGCAACGTTATGTTACTCAAATCTGGAAGAAGAGAAAATAAGTTTTATTTCCATTTGTGTGTGTGATGCTGAAACAAAATGATGCTTCCTACATTACAAATGTAATGGCTTCATTACTTCAAGAAAAATGAATGGCATTGATAAAGCCTTATCAAAGCATTTGAAAGTAAAGTGGGCATTGATAGCATCTCACTCTGGCTTTAAATGTGGTGCACTTTGATGGAGAAAAGCATTAAGTTCATGAGTCCCATTTTGGCGTAAAGAAAATCAACAGCATTCATTTAACCGTCTTCATCTTAATCATTTTATTATATATTATTTAAACCTTCTGTTTGATTATGGTAGTAAACAAGCTATGACAAACTCAGTGTCTATTAGATTAACTAAAGGTAATATGATATCAAAGTTTTGCAAAAACAATATGCTGTCTGTTTGCAACCTGCTGTGGACGAGGACATGTGGCATATCCTGGCTATGAACAATGTTAATAATGTGCTCAGTCAGAAGTAGGTGTGATAAAGATCGTGCTGTCCAACTTTAACTAATGTGCTGCCTTTTATCTACCTTACTCCTTCTCCCCAGAGGTAGACTGCTCTTTACTGTTTCTTCACAGATGATAGAGAAGTTAGGAAACATTCTCTACCCATCCACCCACTCACCTGCCTACTATCTCCCATTAAACCGAATTCTTGTGTTTGTTCTTTGCTCATGAGGAATGAGTTTTAAAGGCAGCTCACACTCAAATAAAACTGGTCTGGAGGCTTGCAAAGCATTTGATGTGTTCATCTAAAATCTTGGAGTCTTTAAATTATAGGTCATTATAAGCAGATGTTCTTTCAAAGGCAGATATGTCTTAATTTCTTTTGTTCCCCAGCAGCTTATTTCAGTGTGAAGAGCAAAATCTTTTTGGTAAAGGAATGATGAGATTTGAATCTTCTATGCAATTTACCTTAGTTTTCCATAACACTTAAAAAACATCTGTATTTGGGAAACTTCATTGGTTTAATTACATGCCAAAGTCATGGAAATTCTTTTAGTTTTAAAAAGTCCTTAACTTCTCTGTCTCCCCTTTAGTGTTTGGATGTTATTTACACCACATTAATATTGCCAACCCAAGTCAAGAAATCCCCAAAGTCTGTCCATTGTGTGTGTTGCTCAAGCTAAACCACAAATGCAATTTACACTGTTGTAGATTCACATTGAACACTCACTGAGCACCTCTCAGGAGCCACATTCTGTCCAATCCACCTCATGTGCACGTTGCCTCCTTTCATTAGATAACATAAGGAATGAGTTTTTGTCCATTTTAATAAAAATTTTACTCAGATTCTTTGATGAACCTTATAGCACTTTGTTTTAAGTAAATAATTAGATTATTTTCATTCAGGTAAAAATAAAAGATAAATATGAGTGATAATTTTGAGCAATAAAAATCGTTTTTAAAATTGAAATAGTAGATTTTGTAAATATAAAAGGCCTCTGTCTCAGTTTGTTCAGGCAGCTATAACAGAATGCCTTTGACTGCCTAACTTACAAACAACAGGAATTTATTTCTTACAGTTCTAGAATCTGGAGAGTCCAAGATCAAGGTGCCAGCAGATCTGGTGTCTGGTGATGGCTCGTTCTATGCTCCATAGATGGCACCTTCTCAGGCTTCCTCACTTGGTGGAAGGGCAAACAGCCCCCCTTGGGGATCTTTTATAGGGACACTAATCCCATTCATGAGGGTAGCGCCCTCATGACCTAATGCCTCTTAAAGGCCCAATCTCTTAATACGATTGCATTAGAGATTGGCTTTCAACACGTGCACTTTGAGGAGACACACACTTTCAGACCATGGCAACACCTAGTTAAAAAGGGAGCGAGCATTTACTGGCTGCCTACTGTGTTCCCTTGGTACGGGAAATAGTTTACCCACTCTCCAAAAACTATGAATCAAGCATTTACTTTGTGACAGGCACTGTGATTATCACAAAGGATGTGAGGGTGAATAAAGTAATACTCTGGCAGGATGCTGTGGCTCACACCTATAATCCCAGCACTTTGGGAGGCTGAGGCAGGAGGATTGGTTGAGGCCAGGAGTTCAAAACCAGCCTGGTCAACATAGTGAGACCCCATCTGTAGAATAAATAAACAAATAAATAAAAATGAAAAAATTAGCTGGGTGTGGTGGCATGCACCTGTATTCCCAGCTGCTCAGGAAGCTGAGGCAGAAGAATGCCTTGAATCCAGGAGTTTGAGGGGGCAGTGAGTTATGACTGTGCCACTGCACTCCAGCCTGGGTGACAGAATGAGACCCTGTCTCAAAAATAATAATAATAAAATAAAGTAATCCTGCATGAATTCAAGAGGATACAGAGAAGTGATCAGGCCCTTTATATACAATGTTCTATTTGATACAAAAGTGGTGAGTGTAGAGTATTATAGGAACACGCAGAAGAGGTACCTGGTCCATCTTGGTTAGAGAAGGCCATGCAGACCCAATAATGCCAAGGAGGAGGCCTCTAGCTTCTATTTAGAATCCCATCTTTCTAACTCCCTCCTTCTAGCCCTCCTTCCTTCTCTCTCTGCCTCCTTTCCTTTTCCCTGCCTTCTTCTTCCTTCCTTTCACTGTACTAGATTTTTAAAAATTACAGAAGTATGACTTGATTTCTGAAGTACATCTAATAATGCAGATAGAAAGGAAAAGTTAACAAGCTCCTCATTATACATTCTGAATACTAGTTCACTGAAGTAACTGAAGAGAAGACTTTTTTTATTATTATACTTTAAGTTCTGGGATACATGGGCAGAATGTGCAGGTTTGTTACATAGGTGTACATGTGCCATGGTGGTTTGCTGCCACCCATCAAGCCATCATCTCTTAATTAGGTACTTCTCCTAATGCTATCCCTCCCCTTGCTCCCTACCCCTGACAGGCCCTGGTATGTGATGCCCCCCTCCCTGTGTCCCTGTGTTCTCATTGTTCAACTCCCATTTATGAGTGAGAACATACGGCATTTGGTTTTCTGTTCCTGTGTTAGTTTGCTGAGAATGATGGTTTCCACCTTCATCCATGTCCTGCAAAGGACAGGAACTCATTCTTTTTTATGGCTGCATAGTATTCCGTGGTGTATATGTGCCACATTTTCTTTATCCAGTCTATCATTGATGGTCATTTGGGTTGGTTCCAAGTCTTTGCTATTGTGAATAGTGCTGCAATAAACATATGTGTGCATGTGTCTTTATAGTAGAATGATTTATAATCCTTTGGGTATATACCCAGTAATGGGATTGCTGGGTCAAATGGTATTTCTGGTTCTAGATCCTAGAGGAATCACCACATTGTCTTCCACAATGGTTGAACTAGTTTACACTCCCACCAACATTGTAAAAGTGTTCCTATTTCTCCACATCCTCTCCAGCATCTGTTGTTTCCTAACTTTTTAATGATTGCCCTTCTAACTGGCATGAGACGGTATCTCATTGTGGTTTTGATTTGCATTTTAGAGAAGAGATATTATATGTGTATTTTTTCCAAAAAATGGGATCACCCTAAACAGATTATTCTGCAAGTTGCTTTTTCTCTCAAAACTTTATTTATGAGGCCATATTAGAAACCAAATAAAAATTCCTTAAAATGCCATGCTGAAAATCAGATCTGTGTTTTCATTTGTCCCTATAATTTTCATTTTCATCCTTCTTTTTTTACTTTCTCAGTTAATGTTATACCATGCAAATTCCATTTTATGACTATTTTTCTCACCCCCTCCCTCCCTGCTCTCCCTTCCTTCTGATGTTAACTCTTAATGACCTCCTCACTTTGAACACCTTCTCTTCACTTAATTCACTCTGAACCAAAGTCTTTTCTATGCTCACATTAATCAATTTATATTCCTCCTAACATATGTATTCAAAGACATTAATAGATCCTGTTGTTGAAGATTTTATAAAAATTTGATCATATAAGCATCTTAATATTCCATAATGAATGTAATAAAATTCGCTCAACTATTACTCTATGAGTGAACAATTTGGTTGCTTTTAGGACATTACAAAAAAATCTTGCAACAAACATCCTCCATGTATCCTACTTTAGTCGTGGTTTTATAATATTGTATTGTTTTTTATGATTATCTCAAACATTTTAAATATAAAATTTAATGTTATAATATAACAAATATAAAATATAATGTTACCCAGTTCTCAGAAAACAAATTGAAATTCTGATCAAAATTGCATTAAATTTCTGAAGGATTGACCACATTGTGAGACTAAGTCTTTATATACAATAATGTATTCTCCATTGAGTTCTTTATCTTTCCATAAGATTTTGTAACTTCCTTCATATATGTCATGTATCTTTCTTGTTAAATTAATTCCTGGGTTAAATTATATTTTTTATTGCTATTGCAAATGGAATATTCTTCTACTTCAAATAATGATTGTCAACTAGTATTATAGACAAAAGCAGTGAACTTTTGTGTATTTTCCCTGCATCAAGACATCTTCTCAAATTCATTTATTACAGTTTGATAGTAAGAGTTTCATGGATCAAATGTAGAAATTTTTATTGCCTTTACTCTAATATTTATACCAATTATCTGATATTTTTTATTTTAGTAAGTGAAACCTCTTAATGTTGAACATGGTAGAGGTTGGTATCATCCCTGTCTTATTGCTAATTTTAGTAAAAGTGATTTAAGTATGTATTTAATTGTGATCTTTGTAGCTCGTTTTGTAATAGACTGTATCACACTTAAGCAATTTTCTTCTATTTCCCTTATATTTAAAATACCTAATGAAATAATTGCTGATTTTAAAAATAGTGCCTATTTGGCATCTGTCAGTATAATCATATGGATATTTAATTTTTTGATGTGATTATATTGTTTAATCATTTATGAATTTCTGGACTAAATACTATGTGTCATATTTCTTATGGATTCAATCACTCAGTATTTTATTTAGAATTTTTATCTGTATCATAAGTCAAATTTTTATATATATATTTTCATTTTATACTATTGTATCAAGCTTACATATCAAGTATTAGCAACTTTTACAAATGTTTTCCTCATTTTCATACCCCTGTTTATTTGGTATTCCGAAGAGTAGAAGCTACATGGAAGGCAATTTTTTTCTCTAAATGTAGAACTAGATTTCTTTAACAACAAATGAGATGTCCTTTGAGGTATTGTTTCTTTTCATGAGTTCTGCTAGAATTTATTGAAGAGGGATTATTCTTCTGACTTGGAGATTTGAACTAGATGACTTCTAAGGTCCCATCCGATCCCGACATTCATAATTACTGAATTACACAGGTGTTAGGATTGTAGCCTCCAGAGTCAGATTCCGGGGTTTGAATATAAGCCCTAAGACTTAACAGTTGTGGCAATTTACTTAACTTTACCAAGCCCAAGTTTCTTCATTTTCCAAATGTGATGACATAGTGTTTGGCAGATTATAAGCATGCTGTAAATGTTAGTAAGTAATTTCATGAGGGTGGAAACTTTCTACAAATTTATCAAAAAGAAAGTTCTCCATTTTAAAGATATGGTTTATGTAAGAAAAAAATTCTCTTCTAACATTGTGATTTTATGGACAATTTTAGGGACAATTTTAGAAATTGTCCTTTTTCACATAATTCATTGCCTTTTTTTAAGCTACCTATTTCTTAAGTGGTCTTTTCTTCATTATTTATTTTGGGCCTTTTTTTTTTTTTTTTGGCTCTGCACAGATTCTTTGGATGGTTTCAATTACTCTTTAATTATCATCTCTTTTCCCAAACAGCTCTCTCTTCTGAGCTTTAGATTCACGTATCTACCTGCCTGCGAGGTGTTCCCACCTGGAGATCCTACAGGCACCTCCATCCTGATACAATCAGAATGAATCTACCATTTCTCCCAAGATGTTCCCCTAATATGCTTTTTCTTCATTGCTACCTGTCTCAAGGAATGATGCTACAATCCTTGCTCATGCCAGAGATCTGGAGTTATCATTGATTTTTCTAGTCTCTCCCCACCCCTCACCTCTAATTCCCAAGTACTGAAATATTCCTCAAAGCAATCTATTGCACTCCATCTCCATCAACACATCTCTAGTTTTGGAAAGCATTAATGAGAACTTTCTTTTAGTAATAAGACACCTCTTTGAAAATGCAAATCTAATGGCCCAAGACTACTACTTCTGAATCATTTTTAGTCTAAACCTTCTAAATTTGTATCCCAGCCATTATGAATTTATTTTAGTTGCTCAAACATACCATCTTCATGACAAGCTATCAACTAGGAACTCTTATTATCTCATTCTCACACATGTAAAATCTGAGGCTTAGAGAGTTTAAGTAACCTTCCTGAGATCATGGATCCTGTATGTGAAGGAATTAGGATTTCAATCCAGGTCTCTAACTCTGGAGCCTGTTCTCTTTAGATATCGTCTGCTCCAGAAAGCATCTGGCACAACTGTTCTTTCTCCTTTATGTTCATCTGTGTATCACACAGCCTCTATTCTAACACTTACTACTCTACAGTATAATCACTTGTTTCATTCTGTATGTCTCCAAGTAGTTTGTAAACACTATGAAATCAGGGACTGTTTGTTCTTGTATTCTTAGCACCCAGCACAGTGGCTGGCACATAGTAGGTACTTAATAAATATTTGATATGTAACTGCCATGGTCTTAATGTTTGTTCCCCCTGTCAAAATCACTCATTGTAATCCTAACCATCCAGGTGATGGCATTAAGAGGTGATTATGTCACAAGGGTGGAACCCTGACGAATGAGACTAGTGTCCTTATAAAATAAATCAAGAAGAGAACCCTCACCCCCTTCACCAGATAAGGACACAGTGAAAAGATGGCTGTCCATGAATTAAAAGGTGAGACCTCACCAGACACCCAAACTGCCAGTGCTTTTATCTTAGACCACCCAGCCTTTAGAATTGTGGGAAATAAATTTCTGTTGTTTATACGTCTCCCACTATACGGTATTTGTTATAGCAGTCGGAACAGACTAAGACAATAACCCAGATGTATGGGGCCTCCATGTCCCTTGGTCATCCATGGCCTTTGAATATCTAGCAGTCCTTCCGCAATTCCATGTAAGTCTCTTATTTACCCATTGTTTCTTCTTTCTCTGCTTCTGCATGGTAGCCTGCCATCTTGGTTAACCCTAGGTATCATCTTTTGGCATTTTCTCTCAAACACTCGTGCTTCACTTAGGATATTGTGAATTTGTTAATTTTATTGAAATATTAAGGACTTATGGGGAGGACTTTGGTAGTAACTTATAGCCTCCCACTCTTTCTTTCTGGTATTCCTTTTGTCTATGCTCTCCTGCCTTAAATCCCCAATCCATGCTTCTCCCTGTCATGCTCAGCATCCAGGAAGGTAGGCCTTTCCATGATTTCCTGAAATTCTGGTAATAGATATTTTGCCACTCAATTATAGTTGAGTAAATGAATGAATGAATGATTGAATGAATGGATGGATGAAGGTGTGAATGTGTCAACAAGTCCAGGCTCAAGATTTGAGATTAGACCTACCTTATATGATTTTAAACCACCACAAAAAACTTTCTTTGAGGGTGAATCATTGAATATATTGACATACTACATCTGATGAAGCTGTTTATATTTTATATGTAACTGTTTAGCTATCTTTTAGGTACTGTATTATGAGAAAGAATTGTTTATTTTTTTCAAAGTGCATGCTGATTTATTTTGGGCTCTGAGACTGTGGGAGAAGGTGTCCTCTACTTCTTTTTGTCTGCCACATGATTTAGCAAAACGCCGTGTGCAGAGTAGGCACTCACTTAATAGCAAGTTGATTGATTGAATAATTATTCCACCTATAAACACTGCTGTAGTGCATTACCTGATGAGTGTCTATTTCAATATGACTATGGCTATGACCTTCGTGTAGTTCATTAGCAAATGAAAAGTATGCTCATTTCCATGGAAGGAAATGAGAATATAAAAAATGTGTTCTATTTGTAGTGCCATTACTGTCTTACTATTTGATTAAGAACAAATTCTTAACCTTTTAATGCTACCAGTTATCTATGACTCTGATCTCAAGGCTACTGCAGTACCAAAATCCTGGGGAGGATAATATAATAACCCTGACCTATTTGAAGGGATAAAAATAGGCCACAAATGAAAGAACTCATTGACCAAAATCAATCAGTAGTAGAGGAGAGGTGATGTCTTAGAAACAAACAAACAAAAAAGCAAATAAGCAGTTTCACAATCACATTTTGTAATCATAACAATTCCCAGTGAGAATATCACAATTCTGCTGAGAGGGACATTGAAGCTGAGAAATTTTAAGAAACTTGAGTCAAATCATATAGCTGGTAAGAAGCAGTCATTTCTGGTTCACTGTTTCCCCTCCTCGTATCAACCCACTGTTCATTGTATCTCGTCAGTTTTGAAATGCTTATGGTAGGATACCTAAATCCATGACACCCTATTCTAACAAAAGAAAATGAAATTACACTGGTTGGAAGTAGCAGCAGAAACCAAAAAACCTGTTAATAAAATCTTTGAACGTTACTTGTGGTCATGCCCCTGATGTATATTTACTGAATATTCTCTGGGACAGATACCCTCCTATGTCCTAGAGACATGCAAAACAGAGAAAAACAAAGCTCTGCCATTGACAGGATTCTGGGTCATGAAAAACGAGAAAGTTCCCAGGTGGACAAGGGGAGGAAGGATGTTCCAGGTAGAGAGAAAAGAAGGTACAAAGTTAGCGAAGCATTCAGGCCTGTGCTTTTAGCGGTTTTGAATGTTTCAGTCTACCTGGAGGGCCCAGAGTCATTGCAGAAAGCAGAGTAGAAAAACATACAGAGGCGAAATCAAGGGGACTATTGAGTGGAGGAATTTGACTTTACCTGGTCTTTGCCTGTAGGTGATGGAGAAACTGCAGGAAATTTTAAGCAGGAGAATCCTAGGATTAAATTTGGGTTTTAGAAACAATTTATTGAGGCCAGGCGGGGTGTCTCATGTCTGTAATCCCAGCACTTTGGGAGATCAAGGCTGGCAGATCACTTGAAGTCAGGAGTTCAAGACCAGCCTGGCCAACACGGCGATACCCTGTCTCTACTAAGAATACAAAAAAATTAGCTGGATTTGGTGGCACACCTGTAATTCCAGCTACTGGGGAGGCCGAGGCAGGAAAATCGCTTGAACCCAGGATGCGGAGGTTGCAGTGAGCCGAAATCATGCCACCGCACTCCAGCCTGGGTGACAGCATAAGACTCTGTCTAAAAAAAAAAAGGAACAATTTATTGATATTGAAGAGGAAATGTATCAGGTGTAAGTAATGGGAATGGGAGAAAGAATGGAGACTCTTTGGGTGTAGAGACTATTGCTGTGAATTGAAAGCTGAAGCCACTTTTCCTTTGGTAAATAAGTGGGAGATGCTACATTATTGACTTTGCTCAATGATTTGATTTGGGTTGTAATCACGTGAGAATTGGTACATTTGATAACATTTGAAAGTTATCACTAACTAGTAATTCTAACTGATCTTCTAAATTACAGCTTACTCTAGTGATTTTATGGCTGTCTTTGTGCTAAAATTGCAATGTTTTTTTCACTAATGCCTTTTCCTTATTTGCTTCCGTTGACTGTTTAAATCCTTTCCAGCCCATTTGCCATTTATATCATAACCCTCCTGTGTTTGCTCCTAATGTGTTATAATTCTTTATAATCTTGTCCTCACCTGTTTCTGATTCCTGCTAATATTTCTTTTTCCTCCCTTGAGGAAGTTATATCCATTTTTGGTTTCAAATGCTTTTCACCTTTTGTAAATATTAAGGCAACGATTCAATTTAATTTTAAAAATAATGTTTTTCTATTTCTTCTTTTGTCAATAAATTACCTTTGCCAGCTTTTAAAAGCTGTATTGTCTCATAATTTTCTTATGTGCTCTGCTGTTCCATTTCGTTGTTCCCCAGAGGATGTGGGAATATATATTGATATAATGAATAATGTGAAAATTAAAAAAAAGAAGAATTTAGGGTCATATTCCTACTCTATAGTGTTTACTAGTGATCTATTTCAAAATAAGTCATATATTTCAGTCCTGATAAATCAAATATTTAAGAAACATTCTTTAAGTGGAGAAATATACATGGAAAAAAATTACTACTGACCCTGAGAGACCTCCTTGAAAAATTCTTGCTGTGGATGATTTAACTTCAATTTCAGTCCTGCTTCTGCTACCAAGGGTTATCATAGTACACATTGCTCATGAGGGTTCTGGGAGTACAAACGAGGGTCAGAGATCAAAAAACACAAGATATAATATTAGGTAAAATATTAGCAGCCCTGGAAATATTCACAAAGTCATACATTCTGTTAGAGCTACTGTATTCCATGTAGGAAAATAAAAATGGGAAATTGCATGAGCTACTTTCTTTTTTATTATAGAAATTAAAGGTCTAATTTAGAATTGTAAATTTATGTAAATAGCCATTCATACCATTTTATTAGTTCAGGTACTTGGGGGTATGAACAAATAAAATAACAGGATTTTTATAGAGTCTACATTAGTAGTGATTCAGAGTATATATGTAATATAAGGTATTTAAAATTTATAGAACTACAAAGATGCTCTGAGAAGCCTTCAACTTCAAGTTAAACCATGTTTATGAAAATTACTTAATAGATATGTTTTTTTCTTTCTTCCTACTAATTACATGATGGTGTGTGACGATACTGATGTTAAAAATGGAAACTCTCAGTTCTTTGTGCCTTACAAGTACTTCGGCACTTTTGCCATGTATGTGTTGTGCCACTTAACCTTCCTAACCTTGTAATGTAGGTGTTATTCTCATTTTACAGATGAGGAAAGACACAGGGAGATAGAGGAACTTGCGCAACATCACATAAGTGAGTAGTAGAACTGGGAATGAAAGTTAGTTTGGACTGTGACCAAAGCCTGTGCACTCCTGTTGACCACAAGACATTAGTCATAAGGGAGCACTGAGTATGAACAGAGGGGGAGTGTAACTCCATTTAACTCATGGTAAGATGGTAGCTTTTACCCCCACACTGGGAATGTTTACACAAAATCCTGCTGATAATTCTGCATGGCTTTTCTCTGTGTTATAATCTGGGGGGTCATCATGTACTTCATAAATATCCAAGTCTTGGACAAAATGTCACAACCTTTTGTTCTTTCTCTTTGGCATCTCTCCTGAACTTCCTTGAAAATTAGTGCCTCTAGAACTGAAAGTAAAAAAATTAAAATCACAATTGATTCAGTAAACTCGATCAACCTGAATTGTTTATTTTCTTGTTTTATTTTTGTCTTTGCCTTCAACATTGATAAATGCAGTATATGTGCAAAAAAGTATAAATTATATATAAGTGCAATTTAAAGAAGAGAAAAGCCACATACTTGCTAACCCATCTTACCAAATAGGCCCATACCAATATCTTAAAGCCACTGTTTGCTCTTCCTGGAACCCATCTCTCTCCCCTTCTTCTCAGAGGTAACCATTAGTCTGAGCTGTATGCTTAACACTTTCTTGTTTTCCTTCAAGATCTTACCATATGCGTAGGTGTTCCTATACATTTAAAATGTTTTATTTTCCAGTTCAACATATAACTTTTAAGATTCATCCATTTTAATGCTTGTGGTTGCAGTTTTTCCTCTTCACTGCACAATATTTTACTAATATGTCACGATTAATTCACTTCATTATCAATAGGCATTTGGATTTCCCCCACATTTTTGCTGCTACAGATATGTTTCCCATGAATATTTTTGTATATGTCTCCTGATGCACATATACAAGTGTTTCTTTCTTCAACGTATTTGTCTAGGAATGGAATTGATGGGCTATTTATGTAATTCTTCTAATTTAGTAGGAGATGCTTATTTTCTAAAGTGGTTGTACCAGTTGTCATTTCTACAAATCCAAGCCACGGATATCCCCCATGTTCTTGTTGATATGTTGTATCATCAGAATTCATAATTTGCCTGACTGGTGGGTAGGAAATTGTATCTCTTTGATGTTTTATTTTGCTTATCTTTTATTTCAATGACCTTAATTATCTTTTAAAATAATTATTGGCCATCTGTTTCCTCTTCAGAAAAAAATGCCTGTTCTCAATTTTTCTAAGAATTGTTAGCCTTTTACTTAGTATCCCTTTTCCAGAAATTAAAAATAAAGTATCTGGATAGTAATTCTTTGTCAATTGTATGCGTTATAAACATACAAATTGTCACTCAGGTTTTGGCTTGTTAATTAAGAACTTTTTTGCTCCAATTTCTTCTCTTCTTTTCCTATGGCTAATTGCCAGACTTGTCAGAAACCTCAGGTAACAAACTGGAAAAGGAGAAGCAGGAAAAGGCAGAAAAAACTGACCACAGTCCTTCCTTGACTCAGAGCTTTCACCCTGTAGCAGGCCCCAACTGGAGAAGACAGAACATTAAATAAGGGTGAAAGCTTTGGCAATTATACTGATCTTTACATTCAGAGTACAGAGCTGAGAGTCTGCTTGGTGACTTAAAATCAGTGTGGGACTTTGAATTACTGAAGAGTTACCAGCAGTTGTGGGACTGCCCATGTTTTTTTTATCCAGATGAGGGGAAAATATTCCCTGTCACGTATATCTTCAAGGGATAGTAGAAGAAAAAAGTAAGTTGCTCTATGATTAAATCCCACAAGTCCTGATTGTTTGATATACACATTCATTCAACACACATTTGCTGAGCACCTATTAAGTGTTGGATACTAAACTGGGCTACAGGGATAGATAGTGAACAAGATAAGCATTGCTTCTGCTCTGGGGAAGCCTGTTGTGTAATGTAGCTCAGAATACCTTTGGGAAGGAGAATGCAATTGCCCAAAATTTTCTTCAAGTCCCTCGCAGAACTTTGGCAATCTCGCATACAGGGAATATAGCATCAGTGACTAGTCACCTTACTCTAAATTTGTATGAGGGTAAACTTAGGAAGACAGTTCCGGTAGTCTTCTATGTCACCCACATCTGCAAATTATGCTCTCTATGCCTGAAAGAAATCAGTCAATGGCATGTGAATGTATTCATTATCATACAATGATTCAGTTTTAGCTGTATCATGGGTTAATAGGTTGCAAATCTCAGTGGAACTGTGGCAATAGAACATAAATGTAGCTAATCACTTTTCCAGAAGCTAATCATATTTAATATCAAAAGCATGACCCTCTCCACAGATAATCATATTTTAATTTCAAAAGTAAGAATACTAATAGAATTAAGTGGGAAACCAATAATAATTTACCACTGACAGGTTAATGTAGGATAAAGTGACTTGGTAGTAGCTATAAGTGGAAAAATTTACAAATATCTATCATTTAGGATAATTAAAGTACTGGAAGATAAAATAAAATTCTATTAGCATCAATGTCATTGAAACAAATACAGTTAGGTATGTACTGTGTGAAACTTCTTCGTTCTTATTTCAAATTAAATTTAATTCAAATTAAATTAAATTTAATCTTTTGAGACAGAGTCTTTGTTCCCCAGGCTGCAATAGTGATGCAATCATGGCTCACTGCAGCCTTGAACTCCTGGGCTCAAGACATCCTCCCACATCAGCCTCTTCAGTAGCTGGGACTACAGGTATGTGCCACCATGCCCAGCTAATTATTCTGTTTTTTGTAGAGATGGGGAATCACTTTGTAGCTTACCCTTTTGGATCTAAGTTAAATCAGACTATTAAAGTTTTGAGCAAGACACCAAGTCACAATAATTTCTGTGTCCTGTTGGATATGGTGGACAATATACAGAATTTATGAAGGAGGCATCAGAAAACTGGTTAGGAGTCTCTTGAACTATTTTACCCACTGAAGATAACTTAAAGTTCGGATATAAAAGTATTGAGAGATAGTATACTGAGATTTTTCTTTTCTTTCTTTTTTTTTCCGAGAGAGCTATCTTGTGCATCGTTTTCTCTGCAAGAGGGAGGAATGTAGATAAGTGCTATTTTCTAAGCCCTGGCCTGAAGTCTACCTATAGCACTTACTGCACAGCTCCTGAAGTGAGCTATGCACTCTGACATACTGCCTTGGAAATCTAGATGGCAAGAAAGAAGGACCATTGAACTGTTTTGGCAACAGAGTGAAGAAGAGTGCTGCTGGGGGATTGGCTTGCACCCCAAAGTTGGTCAGCACAGAAAGTTTGTGAGTGTTTCCTTTGGGCCAGATGAGGGCCAGTTGGGAGAAAGAGCTAGCCTGGAGCCATTTTAAATTACACCCAGTGGGCTGGGCATGCTGGCTCATGCATGTAATCACAGCACTTTGGGAGGCTGAGGTGGGTTGATCACCTGGGGTGAGGAGTTTGAGACCAGCCTGGCCAACATGGTGAAACCCTGTCTCTACTAAAAATACAAAAATTAGCTGGGTGTGGTGGCATGCACCTGTAATCCCAACTACTCGGGAGGCTGAGGCAAGAGAATCACTTGAACCTGAGAGGCGGAGGTTGTAGTGAGCTGAGATCATACCACTGCGCTCCAGCCTGGGTGATAGAGCAAGACTCCGTCTCCAAAAAAAAAAAAAAAAAAAATATATATATATATATATACCCAGTGAAATACAGAAAATCTGAGATTTGCTTAAAAATATCCCAGGGAAATAACAATAGGTAAAAATGCTGATAATTGTTGCAACTGGATAACAGTGCATGAGAGTTCACTGTCTCATTCTCTCTTTTTCGGGAATGATCACTCATGTTCCTAAAAGAAAGTTTAGAAAATTCTACTCAAGAGGATCTCTGTGGAAAGGCAATGAAATTTCCATGGAGAAAATTTGTTTGGCAGGTACCAGTCAGCAAACTGGGGACTGAGGTAGCACAGCAGCCGAGGAAGTAGAATGCATGGTTAGTGTCGAAAGAACTTCAAGAGAGGTACTCAGTGCATGGGACTTTCTGTTGAATGTGTGAAAGTACTCTGTGTGAGAATAAGTGCTCCTTAAACACTTCCCCAGCCCAGACATTGAGAAGCCTTCATTGACAGTACCAGTCAAGCAGTAAGTACTCTATCCTAATCCATTTTTTTCTTTCTCTCTTTCAAAAACATGTCTGGCAAGTAAAGGAGAAAATTAGCAAGACAGAGAGAAGAAATGGGAGAGAGGGTTAGCAACAGAGAAGAAGAAAAGGCAGAAGAGGTGAGTGAGGGAGAGAGAGAAGCTACATACCCCATTTCAAGATGGAGAGAAGCTGTGTGTGATCAGATCAGCTCCAGTGATCCCACCTGCAGGCAACAGGGTGCTTCTGGGGACAGGAAAAGTTTTCTTAATTCTAAATCAAGTTTGAAGTGTTGATTAACAAATGAGACTAGAAATTTAATTACTGAATTAATGTTTGGTTTGTGAATTAAAGAATCTGCAAGATTTCACACTATCTAGGAGTGACCTGCAAAGTCTTGGGCTTTGCCTGCATTTTTATCCAGTGGCAAGTGATGAGCTGCCTGTGTTGAGTTCACTGAGAAGTTTTTTTTTTTTTTTTTTTTTTTTTGAGATGGAGTCTGACTCTGTTGCCCAGGCTGGAGTACAGTGGCATGATCTCGGCTCACTGCAACCTCCGCCTCCCGGGTTCAAGTGATTCTTCTGCCTCAGTCTCCTGAGTAGCTGGGATTACAGATGTGCGCCACCACGCCCAGCTAATTTTTGTATTTTTAGTAGAGATGGGGTTTCACCATGTTGGGCAGGCTGGTCTTGAACTCCTGACCTTGTGGTCCATCCCTGCCCTCCCCCCAACCCAGCCACCCAAAGTGTTTGGATTATAGGTGTGAGCCACTGCACCCAGCCCCATTGAGAAGTTTTAATGAGGCAGATTGAAAACAGAAAAGATGCAGAAGATGCTTTTGGCTTACATTGCAAGCATTCTGCTTGTTCAGTCTGTTTTGTATATGTATTGTCCCATGTTAACCTTGTGGCAATCCTATGGATGCTCAAGGGAGGCATTATTCACTGCATTCTATTAATACCAGTAGATAAATTAAAATGTTAAGGAAGTTGAGTGATTTGCTCAGGATCACAATGTTGCTAAAAGATTGAAGCAAAGCTGGAACCTGGTCTTTCATTACTTTATTGGTCCAGCATTTTTACACATTATCTCCTAAATCCACACCAGTCCTAAAGATTTAGAGAAACGGCATGGACTAAAAGTGTTAAAGACTCCTCTTAGATCATGGAGAAGCATCGTTTACCTGGTGGGTTCTACATTCTAATCCTGTAACTTGGTTCTTCCAGATTCCAGGGCCTTATCACTTCTCTGGGGATCTCAGAGACTGAGAGTTGATTCATGTTTAGACAAATTTGTTGGGGCCAAAAAGCCCAGCCCTTATTTTCTGGAATTTAAACAAGTGTCGCTTTTCTGTCAAACAGTAAAGACACTTGAAGGCTGTGATGTTTTTCCTGATGGCCCAAGGTTGATCAATCAATCGGTCAAAACAGTGACTCTTGTTCAAATGTATCCATTAGGGTCTCGAGGTAGAGACATAAACATAATTAGTTAATTCATATATAGATTGTTGTTGGGTTAATTAATGAGCACCTACAATGTATCACCTCTGTGCTTGGCATTGGAGATGTGATGGTTAGCAAAAAAGAAGAAAAAAAGAAAAGAAAAAGAAGAGAGGAAAAAAAGGAGAAAAATGCAGACTCTCTGGTCTCATGAGACTTAGAATCTAGGAGGGGAAATGGACATTAATGAAAGAATCACGCAAATAAATATTAAATATCAGCTATGGTGAGTGGTAAATAGGAGAGGATATGGTGTTATAAGAATCAGTACAGGGGCTTGGGGCCTACCTAGTGAAGTTTGGGTAATCTGGAGGAATTTAACATTTCATCAACAGACATTAACTCAGTACATTCAGTTGGGGTCAGGGGGAGAGAAAGGGAGATAAGTTTTTAGAGATGTTCCTTCTAGAAGTGTTATCTTTCTTCCCTGAGAAAAATAGACTATTAATATAAATAGAATTAAAATTGAATTAATTTCCACAGGGAGAGCCTCTTCCTTCCATTGATCTAGGAAACATGAAAAACCTGAACTTAGTACTTTTGTAACTTCTATGCTTTTAATTTCTGTAGAATAAGCTCTTTGTTATGCTCTAGGCTTTGAGGGAGCAGGAATTAAGTCTTGGACTTAATTTCTTTTTAATGAACATGGTGACAAAAAGAAACTTTAGCAGGACTCAGCAGCAGTCTTGGCTTCCTGAGGCAGAGGAAGACTGACAGGGAGGATGGGGGACTGTGAGTCAGGCAGTAAATGGGCCCCCACAATAGCCTCACTCTGGAGCGGTGTGAGGGTGGTAAATAAAGGTGAGAAGCAGCAGCAGGCCTTTAGGAAGAGGACACAGCTCTAAAAGACTCAGGGTCTCAACAGGGCTGCTTGTGACCCAGGGGTGAATCTCCTTGAGCACTGGAATCTTCATGTCTCTCTGTGTTAATTGATTCCCATGTTTAGTACCAGGCGTTGTACAAACTGCTCTGCAAAAAAACATGTTTACTGAACAAATGATGAAACTTGAACCAAGAACTTCGATAAAGTAAGGTTATCAACAGAAAGTGAAGACCTTGGAAATAATGGAGAAAGAACAAAATCACCAAAAAGGAGGGTGGGTACAGTAGTTGTAAATTGCTGAACATCCAAATTGGCCTTCAGCTTCCCGCACATGGTCAGACCTTGACTTAATGCTCCAGTGAATTGGGGAGTCTCTACCCGTTTTTCTCAATAGTGTTTATGCATGATAGTTTTTTGCAGACTTTGAAAACCCAGTTCAGTCCTGTGCGTGGGGAGAGCAGATTGATGTGTCAGGATGACTGCTATCAGATTACCGATCTTGGAAAGGGGCACTGTGTGGGGCTGTTGCTCTGGATACACACCAGTACCTCACTTTTCTCCTGCACTCCAGGTAGCAGGAAAGAGGGTAAAAAACTGATGAGGGAAAAGGATTGAGAGCATCCTATTCCTCTCTTGGTTTTGGTAGTAGGGATGATAACTTAGCTCTATCATTTCCTTTAAGACTTCTGTATATGCTAACTGTATTTTTGATTATTAGTGGCTGTCACACATTGGCAGCATTCAATGAAGTGTCATATGTGCACCAAGCCATCAGTATTACATCAAATCAGTGATTTTCTATGCTCTTTGAGAATAGTCCTAACTGTACTGCAGCCTCATATAACATGCATTAGTCAAATCAGAAAAATACATTGCAATAAATAAAAAGGCAAATTGCAAAAATAGTAGTGTAACAGCATGAAAAAGGAGAGAATAGTTGCTCATTCAGGTGTTGGCAGCAAATTTCGGAGTCTACCAATTTACTTTTCTATCTTAAAATAATTTTGTTGCCTAGAATATTGCCTAATGTATTTAGGTGCTCAATACATATTTGTTAAATGGATAAATGCATTTTCAGGCACTGCCAGTACTCATTCTACAACCTTGCTGAAATTATAATTACTTCCTTGGAGTAATAATGGATTTACGGAAATGAATCCCAAACTTTCGAACTTGGTTTTAGGGCAATATGAGGCTTACTTTTTAGAGTTGAGTGAGATAAGTGTTATCCTCAGGGTGTTCTTTATCTAATCTTATTTTTGTTTGATGGCTTTGTTTGAAATTAGTCTGGGTATAGGAGTAATAAGTTTAAATCCATAATGTCAAAAAAGTTACTTGAATGCATATATCTGGGCCATTAAGACAAGCAACTGGAATCAGCTACTTCTTTTTTCTTGATTGTTTTATTTTATTTTATTTTTTGAGACGGAGTCTAGCTCTGTCGCCTAGGCTGGAGTGCGGTGTCACAATCTCGGCTTACTGCAAGCTCTGCCTCCCGGGTTCACACCGTTCTCCTGCCTCAGCCTCCCGAGTAGCTGGGACTACAGGCGCCTGCCATCACTCCCGGCTAATTTTTTGTATTTTTCGTAGAGACGGGGTTTCACCATGTTAGCCAGGATGGTCTCGATCTCCTGACCTCGAGATCTGCCCTCCTCAGCCTCCCAAAGTCCTGGGATTACAGGCGTGAGCCACCGCGCCAGGCCGTTTTTTGTTCTTTTTGAGATAGAGTCTCGCTCAGTCCTAGGCTGGAGTGCAGTGGTGCAATTGAGAGGTGACAGTGTGCTGGCAGCCTTCACAGCCCTCGCTCCCTCTAGGCGCCTCCTTTGCCTGGGCTCCCACTTTGGCAGCACTTGAGGAGCCCTTCAGCCCACCGCTGCACTGTGGGAGTCCCCTCCTGGGCTGACCGAGGTCGGAGCTGGCTCCCTCAGCTTGCGGGGAGGCGTGGAGGGAGAGGCACGGGCGGGAACCGGGGCTGCACGTGGTGCTTGCGGGCCAGCGGGAGTTCCAGGTGGGTGTGGGTTCGTGGGGCCCTGCACTCTGAGCGGCCAGCCGGCCCTGCCGGCCCGGGCAATGAGGGGCTTAGCACCTGGGCAAGCGGCTGCGTCCCCCAGCAGTGCCGGCCCACCGGCGCTGTGCTGGATTTCTCGCTGGGCCTTAGCTGCCTGCCGGCGGGGCAGGGCTTGGGACCTGCAGCTGCCATGCCTGAGCCTCCCCCACCTCCGTGGGCTCCTGTGCAGCCTGAGCCTCCCCGACGAGCGCCGCCCCCTGCTCCACCGCTCCCAGTCCCATCAAACACCCAAGGGCTGAGGAGTGCCGGCGCAGAGTGCGGGACTGGCAGACAGCTCCACCTGTGGCCCCGGTGGAGGATCCACTGGGTGAAGCCAGCTGGGCTTCTGAGTCTGGTGGAGACTTGGAGAACCTTTATGTCTAGCTAGGGGATTGTAAATACACCAGTCGGCACTATGTATCTAGCTCAAGGTTTGTAAACACACCAATCAGTACCCTGTGTCTAGCTCAGAGTTTGTGAATGCACCAATCGACACTCTGTATCTAGGTAATCTAATGGGGAGGTGGAGAACCTTTGTGTCTAGCTCAGGGATTGTAAACGCACCAGTCAGCACCCTGTCAAAACAGACCCCTCGGCTCTCTGTGAAATGGACCAATCAGCAGGATGAGGGTGGGGCCAGATAAGAGAATAAAAGCAGGCTGCCAGCGCCAGCAGTGGCAACCCGCTCAGGTCCCCTTCCACGCTGTGGAAGCTTTGTTCTTTTGCTCTTTGCAATCAATCTTGCTGCTGCTCACTCTTTGTCCACACTGCCTTTATGAGCTGTAACACTCACTGCGAAGGTCTTCAGCTTCACTCCTGAAGCCAGCGAGACCACGAACCCACCGGGAGGAATGGAAAACTCCAGACGCGCCACCTTAAGAGCTGTAACACTCACCGCGAAGGTCCGCAGCTTCACTCCTGAGCCACCGAGACCACGAACTCCACCAGAAGGAAGAGACTCCGAACACATCCGAACATCAGAAGGAACAAACTCTGGACACGCCGCCTTTAAGAACTGTAACACTCACAGCGAGGGTCCGCGGCTTCATTCTTGAAGTCAGTGAGACCAAGAACCCACCAATTCTGGACACACAATCACGGCTCACCGCAGTCTTGAATTCCTGGGCTCAAGCAGTCCTCTCACCTCAGCCTTCCGAGTAGCTGGGATTAAAGGTATGCACCACCACACTTGGTTAATTTTTTCTTTCTTTCTTTCCTTCCTTCTTTTTCTTTTTTAGTAGAGCTGTCATGTTATGTTGGTCTCAAACTCCAGGGCTTTGTTTCAAACTCCTGGGCTCAAGCGATCTTCCCATCTCGACTTCCCAGTTAACTGAGATTACAGGCATGAGCTACCACACCTGTCGTTGGAATCAGCTACTTCTGATCCTGACCTAAAAACTGGGTAGATGGGCTTACACTTTAGGCAAATGTCAGGCTATTGGGCCTCCTTAATACATACCCGTGCCTAATTGTAGGTAATTTCTAGGGTTCTTGCATGACTCAGGAGGAGTGAGGGTAGCTAGACAGGACGATTCCCCACAGCTTTTCTCCCTTGCTGTGTCACAAAGGGAAGTTCTAGGTAGGTTAGGGAATTTTTGTTTCACTATGTTGATGTAAACCCATACAGCCTATCCCACTCGCTGAGTACAACTAAAAGCTCTGGATAAAATACAAAAAATATCTATCAAAGGCTCAGATATTAAAGTAAACAAAGGTAGGCAGATTGTGAAGAGGCAACTCATATGGGGAAGGGACAGTGAGCCCTCGTTTTTTCTCTCCTAGCTTTGCCCTGAGGGTGAATCTCAGTGTGTAGTTACTTGGCAGAGGTAGCTGAAACTTAGGAAAAATCCTGTTTCTCTGGCTGGGAGAACTAGGGAAAGAAGCATCTGTGGGCCAGAGAGTATTAAGAAGAATTTTGGAAAGGAGAGCCTAGAGAAAAAGATGCCTATTTCTCTGAGTGAATCCACAAAAGTATCAGACTAACCCCTAAGCTATGCATATATGGCTCAGTCTCAAATGAGGTAGCACAGCTTGGGAGACCTAACCTGAGAGTTTAACTGCTGCTCTCAGAAGATGAACCTAAATGGCTCGAATGCATGCTAAAACAAAAACATCAACACTTCTCAGATAATTACAGTAGGACCCAGAGTCTATAGAACATCACATTCGTCAATCTAAAATTACTCAAATCAAACAAACACACATAGCAGAAAAATAGAACTAATTTTCAAGGGAAAGAAGAAAGAACAGATGCCAAACCCTAGATGACTCACATGTTGAATTAATAGACAAAGACATTAAAGAAGCTATAATGTCTATGATCTATGAGGTAAAGAAAAATATACAGTTCAGCAGAGAAAAATTATAAAGGACAACCAAATGGAAATTTTAGAATTGAAAGTCAAATATCTGAAATAAATATTTCACTGAGTGGGTTCAATAGTAGAATGGAGATGACAGAAGAAAGAGTCAGTGAACCTGAAGACTGATCAATAGAAATTATTCAGTCTGGTATACTGTCAGTGGGAATGTAAATCAGTATAGCTACCATGAAGAACAGCATAAAGGTTCCAAAAAAAAAAGCTAAAAAAAGATGGAAAACTAAAACTAAAAATATAGAACTATGATATGATCCAGCAACCCCACTACTAGGCATTTACCCAAAGGAAAGGAAATCAGTATACCAAAGAGACATCTGCACTCTCATGTTTACTGCGGCATCATTTGCAATAGCAAAGATATGGAATATGCCTAGGTGTCCAACAACAGATGAGTGGATAAAGAAAATGTGGTATATATACACAATGGAATACTACTATTCAGCCATAAAAGGAATGAATTCCTGTCATTCACAGCAACATCGGTGGAACTAGAGGACATTGTTAAGTGAAACAAGCCAGGTGCAGAAAGGCAAATATTTCATAATCTTATTTCTATGTAGGAGTTAAAAAAAATTTAACTCATTGAGATAGGGAGTAGAATTATGGTTACTAGAGACTAGGAAGGGTAGTGACTAGGGAGGATTAAAATGATTGCTAGAAACTAGGAAGGATTAAAGAGGGGCTGATTAATGGGTGCAAAAATAGAAGGAATAAGATCCAGTATTTGATAGCACAACAGAGCACTATAGCCAACAATAATTTATTGTGTATTTATATGTATATGTGTATATATGTATATATATACGTATATGTGTATGTATATATATATACGTATATGTGTATATATGTATATATATACGTATATGTGTATATATGTATATATATACGTATATGTGTATATATGTATATGTATACGTATATGTGTATATATGTATATGTATATATATACGTGTATGTGTATATATATGTGTATATATAGAGAGAGAGAGGAATTGAGATATTCCTAACACAAAGAAATGATACATACTTGAGGTGATGAGTATCTTAATTACTCTGATTTAATAATGACAAATGAAATATTTATATAAACATATATTTACCTCATAAGTATGTACAACTATTTTTTAAAAAAGAAATTATTCAAAATGAAGAGAACAATGAACAAAGCAGATTGAAACAAACAACAAAAAACACAGAAATTTAGGCACCTGTGGGACAATATAACAAGGTCTAACATGTGAAAATTCAGTTCCAGGGGAGAGGAGAAAGATTGAAACAATAAACATATTTGAAGAAACAATAGCCAAGCCCAATTTGGTGAACAGTAAAAATTTACAAAAAAAAGCTCAGTGAAGAGGAAATAAGATGTATTAAAAAAAATCGGGCTTTGACATATTATAATTGTATCACTGAAAATCAAAAATAAATATGTCCTAAAAGCAGCCAGATAAAATAACAGCTTGCATATAGGTGCACAATGATTTGAATTACTGTGGATTTCTCATCTGAATCTATGGAGGCCAGGAGACAATGAGACATCTTTAAAGTGCTAAAAGAAAAGAGCTGTTAATTTATTAATAAAATTCTAAGTCCTGTGAGGTATCTTTCAGAATTTTAAGTAAAAATATTTTTGGATGAAGGAGACAAGAAAATTTGTTTCTAGCATAGCTTTTTTATAAGAAATGCTAAAGGATGCTTTTAAGATGAAGGGGAAAATGGTGCTGGGGGTAAACTTGTCTTTAGGAATGTGAGAAGAACAACATGATGGTATATTGTTGGATAATTATAAAATACTATCATTTTTCTTTTTTAGTTCTTTAAAATACATATGACCAATTGAAACAAACAGTATAACATTGTTGGGTGAGGTTTTCAATATATGTAGGTATAATTCATGTAGCAACTATAACAGACTTCAGCCAGAGGGGGACTATTTGATTTCAAGACTATTCTATTTTACAGGAAGTAGTACAGTATTAACTCTATGAAGACTGTGAAAGATAAGATACATACATTATAATCCCTAGAGAAAACCCTAAATGTAATAAGAGAGAGCTAAAAAAGTAACAAATAAATTAAAATTGAATACTAAAAATATTCAGGTAACCAAAGAGAAGGCATGAAAGAAACACAGAAACAAAACACAGAGGGAAAAACAGAAAACAAATAAAAAATGGTAGGCCTAAATCCAACCATATCAATAATTATATTAAATGTTAATGGCTGAAACACTAAAAGGCAGAGATTGATATAGTGGATAAAAAAGCAAGAATCTAGGACGTACTCCCTACAAGAAATGCACACTAAATATAAGGACATAAATAGGTTGAATGTAAACAGATGGAACAACATATGGCATAAAAATTATAAACGTATCGAGGTTGGAGTGACTTTTTAAAATTTTAGGTTGAGATGATTTCAAGACTCAAAGTATTAGAGATAAAGAGAGATATTTTATAAGGATTAAAGAGACAATTCCTTAGGAAGACAAAACAATTATAAATGTCTATGCATCTAACCATAGTTTTTAAAATGTAATTTAATTTTTATTGTATTTTACCTTAAGTTCTGGGATACATGTGCAGAACGTGCAGGTTTGTTACATAGGTATACATGTGCCATGGTGGTTTGCTGCACCTATCAACCCATCATCTAGGTTTTAAGCCCCGCATGCATTAAATATTTGTTTTAATGCTCTCCCTCCCCTTGTCCCCCACCTCCCAACAGGCCCCAGTGTGTGATCTTTCCCTCCCTGTGTCTATGTGTTCTTATTGTTCAACTCCCACTTATGAGTGAGAACATGTGGTGTTTGGTTTTCTGTTCCTGTGTTAGTTTGCTGAGAATGATGGCTTCCACTTCATCCATGTCCCTGCAAAGGACATAAACTCATCCTCTTTTATGGCTGCATAGTATTCCATGGTGTATATGTGCCACATTTTCTTTATCTGTACTATCATTGATGGGCATTTGGGTTGGTTCCAAGTCTTTGCTATTGTAAATAGTGCTGCAATAAACGTGTGCATATGTCTTTAGAGTAGAATGATTTATAATCCTTTGGGTGTATAACCAGTAATGGGATTGCTGGGTCAAATGGTATTTCTGGTTCTAGATCCTTGAGGAATCGCCACACTGTCTTTCACAACGGTTGAACTAATTTACACTCCCACCAACAGTGTAAAAGCATTCTTATTTCTCCACAGCCTCACCAGCATCTGTTGTTTTCTGACTTTTTAGTAATCGCCATTCTGACTGGCGTGAGATGGTATCTCATTGTGGTTTTGATTTGCATTTCTCTAGTGACCAGTGATGATGAGCTTTTTTTCATATGTTTGTTGGCCACATAGATGTCTTCTTTTGAGAAGTGTCTGTTCATATCCTCTGCCAACTTTTTGATGGGATTGTTTTTTTTTCTTGTAAATTTGTTTAAGTTCCTTGTGGATTCTGGATATTTGTTAGATGGGTAACTTGCAAACATTTTCTCCCATTCTGTGGATTGCCTGTTCACTCTGATGATAGTTTCTTTTACTGTGCAGAAGCTCTTTAGTTTGATTAGATCCCATTTGCCAATTTTTAACCATAGAGTTTTAAAGGTACTGTTCAGATCACCTGGTCACCTTGGGAAAGTCAATGCCAAGTCGGCTTCATCCCTGCAAGGTATCCTCACTAGCATGGCTTCAGGGATACCTGATACATATGGCTCCTGAGTTACAGTTGGGTCTGGCATAGTTACAAGGACTATGTTCTCTCACCTTTAGCTAAATAGTAGTCAACTTTTCATTTTTAATTGTTCAGGTATTTTAAAGTGATGATCACAAATATAACACAATTTTTCAGAGAAATTCAAACTAAAGATAAAATATAAATGAAAATCTTAGCTTTTGAGTTCATTCTACATAGTCTTAAAATTTTAACAGGCTTTTCTTGTTGACAAAATACCATGCCAAGTGATGTAGAGGCAGATAATATAACTGTATGTAACTGAAAAATAATCTCCAGGTGTTATTGGCTGATTTATGTTCCACCAAAATTCATATGTTGAAGTCCTAACCCCCAGTTCCTCAGAATGTGCCTGTATTTGGAGACAGGGTCTTTCAATAGATAATTAAGTTAAAACAAGGTGAAACAAGGTCGTTAAGGTAAGGCTTTAATCCGATATGACTGATATGTTCATAGAAAGAGGAAATTGGGACACAGACATTCATACACAGTGGGAGACCCATGTGAAGACAAGGGAGAAGGTGGCTAACTGTAAGTCAAGGGGAGAAGCCTCAGAAAAAAACAGCCTTACTGACACCTTGATCTCAGACTTCTAGCCTCGTGAGAAAAGAAAATTGCTGTTGTTGAAGCCACCCAATCTTCAGTACTTTGTTACGGCAACACTAGCAAACTAATACACTAGGCAAATGCCAGGGAAAGAGCAGGAGTAAAGTGAGATCCTTTAGGGATTAAGCAACACCTAAACTGTCTGCAAGGGAAAGCATTTTCTGCTTTGCAAAGGTGGTCACTCATATCCCAGTATTTTATTATTAATATGTGTGAAGTTTTTCAATATGTATTAAGGACATATACAGGATTTTCTTGTGTAATGAGAATAATGGAAGTAAGTTATTACTTCCATAAAATGTTGGATTGGATGTAATTGTAGCCGAAAGGATGATTTTATTACATAAGAAAGATACTGTTGGCTAAAGCCAATTCATTAGAATGGTACACCAGTCTGTTATTATTTTTATTTCTAGTCCTTATGAGATTTCATTCTTTTAGATAAAAACATGCATATCAGCTTTGGAGTTTGATTGCCTTATGGGCATAAAGCTTTGCATATTTACTGCCCATGAATCATACCGGTATGTGAAATCCAGAGAAGATTCAATTTTTTGCTGCTAGATGCACCTCCAGCCGTTTAATTAAAATATGTATTATTAATAAAACTATATTTAAGTCATATTTTTTACAGATATGACTGAAACATTAAGTGCAAATTGTTTCATACTTTCATAGTAATTTGCTTTTAACGTTTTGTGCCTTAATCAAGGTAGCACACTAGTCAAAGGTTTGTGGTACTGCAGACTTCTTGATGGCGAAATTGAGAAAAACAAGTGGAAAGTGGTGATTAATGAAAGGACACATTTACTTTTCAGAAAGACTCTGGTTTTATTGCAAAAGGGTTCTGTACTAAATTGGAAAGTGCAATAAAATAAAGAGCAGAAAAGAATATTTAATCTCTTTCAGTGCATAGCAATGCCATTTGCCATGTGCATGATAGCTTTGTGCATGTTTCCAACACTGTGTTTCAGCCTGGCTGTCTGCCTTTAGATGTCACAGTTGTTCTTCCACTGAACTGAACTGACTTCATCTCTGTGTTTTCACATTTTTTTCACTTTCCAGAAAGCTTGTATAATCAGTAACACTGATTAGAGGCACTATAGCTCACTTATATAATTCTTAGCAAGGAATTGATTCACAATAGTTTTATTAAATAGGTGATGAAGGTGATGGCTGGATGGCTCTATCAGACACTATGTAGCTTGCTGTAAGAATATAGCCACAGTGAATGGAGTTTGTTATTACAGATTACAAAATTTCCAAACTCTTGAATTTGGTACAAGTGGCGATGGTGGTGAGTGGTACAGAATTAGTAGAAAGGAAGAAAGTATTTAATGACTTCCTACTATGTGCCAGGTACTGTGCTAATCCATTTGCCAGTTGTTATTTCATCCTCATAACAAAGCTTCAAGGAAGAAATGCACATCTCATGGGTTTCACATGAGGAAATGTAGGCCCTGGGAAGTTACGTAACTGCCCCAGCTTTGTAGCTGGTAGGTGACTGAGTCTGGGATCAAAATTTTGGCTTTTTAACTCCAAAGCTCCAGTGGGATCACTGTATAGTCTCTTGCATGTTGAGCCTCTACGAATGCATGCATCTTTTATGTCTGTTTCTAACTAACTGTATGAACACCACCACCAACCCCTCACCCCACCATGAGGTCCCCAAACAGTCAACACTGCTCCTTCCTGTACAGTTTCCTACTCTTGTCCTTTCATAATCCTGCAATCCTTCCCACTCTCTCACTGCTTTTCTCTCTACCCACGCAAGGAAGTTCTACGTTACTTCCAGTGGAGTGATGGTGACCTTTCTACTTTGACATATTCTTTACCAAAAGAATCATACATCTTTGTGTTATTTAGCATTTTTCAATTAAATTCTATTAGAATAGTTTTTTGCTAAGTGGTCTGGCTTCTAAAATTTAATTTTTAGAAGTAATTTGTTTGTGATTCTAGACCTGTAATTACAGAATTCAAATTAATGAAGCCCCCTCCTTTACTTTAAAATGAGCTAGATGGGAAGCCATTAGCTCAGCTAAAAAGAAGACAGTATTTTAGCAAGTTTTCTTTCTTCTTTCTTTCTTTCTTTCTTTCTTTCTTTCTTTCTTTCTTTCTTTCTTTCTTTCTTTCGATAGAGATTCTGACTTTATGACAGCTACTTAAATGGCATTGGATTGGATAGTTCTCCTTCAAGAAGAAACAGCGTAGAGCTGACATAGGTCATAGAAAAAAAATCCTTACTGAAATGTGTTTGCTGTAAGATAGATATCTTTTAATACTTAAATTCCCATTGCAGAGATACTTAAATATGACTTTTTGCCTTCAAATTTCCCAGTTCTTTATGCTAACTATAGAAATTGAACCTAGCATCGTGTTGCCACCAGAAAAGTGGATGCTTCTGTCTTTTCCTTAACCAGTGGGAGAGTTTACCTATGTTTAAAGTAACAGTGATGACTGTATTAGTCAGGGTTCTCTAGAGGGACAGAACTCTCTCTCTCTCTCTCTCTCTCTCTGTCTGTCTGTCTCTCTCTCTCTCTCTCTCTATATATATATATATAGTTAATACTTAATAACAATACTTATAATACTTAATAAACTCATATATATGAGTTTATATATATATATATGTATATATGAGTTTATTAAGTATGAACTCACACTCACAAGGTCCCACAATAGGCCATCTGCAGGCTGAGGAGCAAGGAGAGCCAGTCCAAGTTCCAAAACTGAAGAACGTGGGGTCTGATGTTCGAGGGCAGGAAGCATCCAGCACGGGAGAAAGATGCAGGCCGGGAGGCCAGGCCAGTCTCTCTTTTCACGTTTTTCTGCCTGCTTATATTCTAGCCATGCTGGCAGCTGATTAGATTGTGCCCACCCAGGTTAAGGGTGGGCCTCCCTTCACCAGCCCACTGACTCAAATGTTGATCTCCTTTGGCAAAACCCTCACAGACACACTCGGGATCAATACTTTGTATCCTTCAGTCCAATCAAGTTGACACTCAGTATTAACCATCACAATGACCATGCTTGAAAACAAAGGGAAGCTAAGCAAAATTAGGTCTGATTTTCAATAATTGTAGAAGAATGTCTAGGCAAAGAAACAGAAAGCCCTCATAGCCCAGGGCAGCCTAAATTCCAAGAAACAAGTGGCAAATCCCAAGTCTGGTTTTGCAGGTGCTGGCGTTTCTATGTTCTGTACATTTTTAAACTTTGTCTTTCACTGAGCATCCTTGAAGAGAGTTCCATTGGTTTCACAGTGGGGATGCTGCCTCTTGACTCCACAGAACTCTTAGCATGGAAATTAACCAAACTTCAAAAGTTCTTTGTGTTCTAGAAAACAAACAAAACACACTCTGAGGGACTTATTATTTGTAACACTTAAATTCTAAAACACGTGCACATGCACACACACACTTATACATATTTCAAAATGTAATGACCTGTCTTAAAAATTTTGTGACTACCCACCCCCCACCAAAAGCAGCATGATCTCTCTCAAGCCAGTTCAACCCATACAAAGTAGAAAATACCTAAAATAAATACAATTAACTGGGTACCACAGTTGCACAAACACAAATCTTCAAAGAAGAAAAGCCATAGAGGAAATAAACTAGAGCAAGCCAGCAACTCTGGCAGGAATGGGTAATGGAGAAGCCCTTTACAGAGTGGCAGCTGTTAAAACACTCATCATACCAGATGGTCCAGTTGAGCAAGGCTTGGCCTCTGAAAATATTGCTGGGTTAGGTGATATTTTTTTCTAATGTGCCACATACATTTTTAGAACTGAAAGTGACCCAGGAGGACCTCATGGCAGCAAAGTGACTGAGGTCTGTTAAACAAGGTGTTATCTGGTGCTTTCTTTATTTGTAAATTTTCATTCTGGTTTTAGAGTCAGGGAAAGTTTAGTAAGTCTCATGTATGGGCACATACAGATGAGACAAGACATGGAAATTTTACTTGAGCGAATTTAATCAGTTTTGCTTTTAAACTTACACATGGTTAAATAAAACATTTCAAATGTGGCAATCACTTTCTTTATGCCTTGTAACAGTCAGCCTTGTGAGGTTGGACCATGATCTTCTGATCAATCTGTCTGCCCTGTGTAAGTACCTACTGTTGTGCTTATACACAGAGGGCAGGCAGCAAACAGACATCATAATGCTTACTTGCATCTTTGTCTTCTCTCCAGTCTGGTTTTTGGAATGCTAATTTTAAGACTGAAACTTAAAGAAATGTAATATTTTGCTGTTATATATTGGTGCTTACCCTAAAGGGCTGTTTCCAAAAACTCTACAAAGTTTTAGCAAGAGTCTTGCAAGAGATACCCCAGTGAAGTCCTTATTTCTGCTGATGGCTACTAATACAAGTATTTTTTTTCTTCTCCTTTTTTTTAATTGTCTTGAACAATGCACTGAGAAGTTGATAAATTACTTGTGAACTTGTTCTAGCTACTTCAGAAAAAAATTCAGAGACATTTAAAAATTTTAGTACATTTTGCTTGAATTGTGAGTGTTAAGTCATGTATAGGAAAAGTGATTTGATGCTTTAGGAAACCTGCATAGCCTTTTCTTTCAAGAGCCATTCTTGAACCCCAGGCTGAACTAAGTGTCCATCTTCCGTGGTCCCACAACACATAGAGCAAAGCTTTGCACTTCTCACACTTGATTCAATCTATACATTTTTAGGCATATCTCTCTCACTAGTCCACAATCTCCTCAAAGACAGGCACTGTGTCTGATTCATCTGTGTGTTCCAATTACCTATTTTGGTGTTTACACATCTTAGCCCTTATGTATTTGTTTAATAGAACTGAAATGGGGACAGAGGATACAGGTAACTACATTTCCCTGTAAGAACCTACATTCATTTAGAAGCATTCTTTATTTAAAAGCTGAGATTGCATGTGGCTACAAATACTTGAAAAGTGTTTGCCAGACTTCTCCTATCTCTGGGCATTTGCTGTATCTATTGATTTTTTTAAAATTCTCTGGTTGGACAATTTGTTGTACAATAATAGTCCATCATGAAAATTAACATCTAAATCCTGAAACATAAATTTACAAAGGATTCTTCCAGTTAGAAGCACCTCTACTGTGTTCCCTAGGTGGTCTCTACCATCTGTGGATTCCAAGTATACTTACTTGTCATATTCAGTTCTAAGTATTTTCCAATTTCTATTATTTTTGTAACCAGTAAATTATTTAGCATATTTTTCACTCTACAAATGATTGTTTATTAAAACTATATTTTACTATTGATATTGCTATTTATATTGTTGTTAGAGAATATCATCCAAGTGATATGGATTTCTTTTTTAATAGACTTTGTAAAAATTTTTACTTTAAGCTCTGAGATATATGTGCAGAATGTGCAGGTTTGTTGCATAGGTATACATATGCCATGGTGGTTTGCTGCACCCATCAACCCGTCATCTAGGTTTTAAGCCCCACATGCATTAGGTATTTGTCTTAATGCTGTGCCTCCCCTTGACCTCCACCCTACCATAGGCCCCTGTGTGTGATGTTCCCCTCCCTGTGTTCATGCACTCTCATCATTCAACTCCCACTTATGAGTGAGAATCTGTGGTGTTTGGTTTTCTGTTCCTGTGTTAGTTTGCTGAGAATGATGGCTTCTAGCTTCATACATGTCCCTGCAAAGGACATGAACTCATTCTTTTCTATGGCTGCATAGTATTCCATGGTGTATATGTGCCGCATTTCCTTATCCAGTCTATCATTGATGGGCATTTGGGTTGGTTCCACATCTTTGCTATTGTAAGTAGTGCTGCAATAAACATACATGTGCATATGTCTTTATAGTAGAATGATTTATAATCCTTTGGGTATATACCCAGTAATGGGATTGCTGGGTCAAATGGTATTTCTGGTTCTAGATCCTTGAGGAATCACCACACTGTCTTCCACAATGGTTGAACTAATTTACACTCCCACCAACAGTGTAAAATTGTTCCTATTTCTCTACAGCCTCACCAGCATCTGTTGTTTTCTGACTTTTTTAGTAATTGTCATTCTAACTGGTATGAGATGTTATCTCACTGTGGTTTTGATTTGCATTTCTCTAATGACCAGTGATGATGAGCTTTTTTTCATGTATATTGGCTGCATAAATATAGTAGACTATTTTTTTAAAGCAGTTTTAGGTTCAGAGCAAAATGTAATGGAAAGTACAGAGATATCCCATATATCTCTATCCCCCAACATGCATAGCCTCTCCCATTATCAACAACCCTACTGTAGTGGTTCATTTGTTGCAATCGATGAACCACACTGACACATCATTATCATCCAAAGACCATAGTTTATGTTAAGGTTCACTCTCAATGTTGTGCATTCTATGCGTTTGGATAAATGTATAACATGTGTTCACCATTGTAGTATCATACAGAGTAGTTTCACTGCTCTAAAAATCCTCTGTGCTCTGCCTATTTATTCCCCCTTCCCCTCTAACCTCTGGAAACCACTAATCTTTATACTGACTCCACAGTTTTGGCTTTTCTAGAGTGCCATGGAGTTGGAATCATGTAGTAGATAGCATTTTCAGACTGGCTTCACTTAGCAATATGCACTTAACGTTTCCTTCATATGTTTTTTGTGGCTTGGTAGTTCTTTTTAGCACTAAATGAATTCCATTGTCTGGATGTGTCACAGTTTACCTGTTTACCTACTGAAAGATAACTTAGTTGCTTCCAAGTTTTGGCAGTTATGAATAAAGCTGCTATAAACATCTGTGTACAAGTATTTGTATGAATGTAAGTTTCCAACTCCTTTTGGTAACTACCATAGAGTGAGATTTGCTGGATTGTATGGCATGAGTACATTTAACTTTGTATGAAACTACTAAACCAATTTACAAAGTAGCTGTATCATTTTGTGTTCTGCCCAGCAGTGAATGAGAGTTCTTGTTGCTCCACATCCTCATCAGCATTTGGTGTTGCCAGTGTTCTGGGTATTGGCCATTTTAATATATGTGTAGTTTTATCTTATTGTTGCCTTAATGTGCATTTCCCTGATGACCTATTTCCCTGATTTTAAAGTTTGTATGAAGGGGAAAAACACCCAGAATAGCCAACACAATATTGAAAGAGAAGAACAAAGTTGGATGACTGACATTACTTGATTTCAAGGCTTAACTATAAAGCAACAGCAACCAAGACAGTGTAGTATTGAAGAAAGAATAGACAAATAGATAAATGGAACAGAATAAAAGCCCAGAAATAGACTTACACAGACATAGTCAATTAATCTTTGACAAAAGACCAAAGGTGATACAGTGAAGAAAAGATATTCTTGACATCTACATGCTAAAATTAAGATGTACCTAGACACAGACCTCACACTGTTCACAAAAATTAACTCAAAATGGATCACAGACCTAAATGTAAAACACAAAACTATAAAATTCCTAGAAAATAACATAGGAGAAAATCTCGATGACCTTGGGTTTGGCAAGGAGTTTTTAGATGCAACACTAAAGGTGTAATCCATGAGAGAAAAAGAATGGATAAACTGGCCTTTGCTAAAACGGAAAGTTTCTGTTCTACAAAAGACACTGCAAAGATAAGAAAAAGACAAGCCACAGACTAGAAGAAAATGTTTTCAAAAGACGTATCTGATGAAGGACTGTTACGTAAAATATCAAAGTAACTCTTAAAATTCAACATAACCAACAATTGACTGAAAAAATGGGTTGAGAGACCTTAACAGACTCCCCATCAAAGAAAAGGTATAGACAGTAAATAAGCATGTGAAAAGATGCTATACATCATATGTCATCAAGAAAATTGATTCTTTTTAATTTACTGATACTTCCTACGTGGTCTAGAACATAGTTGATTTTTTAAAATGTTGTGTGTATGCCTAAAAAAAGTGTGTGTCCACTGATTGTGAGATATGAGGTTCCATATACGTCTAGTGTTATTCAAATCTTTTCCATATTTGTTTGTTTCTTAAATGCCTGAATGTACACATTTTTGGAAGAAATGTGTTTTTTAAAAAAGACCCTGTTCTGATGGTGGCTTGGCCCAGCTCTCCTTATAATCAGGGATTTTTGACTTTATATACTCTGTGGCTCTATTGTTGGATGCATAAATATCTGGGATTGTTACATCTGTCAGGTAAATGTATTTTTATGTTTAAGAAATATATATCTTTAGCCATAAAAATTGGTTTTGCCTTAATTTTTACTGTGTTTTATTTTAGTATTGCCTGACTAGTTTTATTATATTTTAGTTTTTTACCAAATATATGTGCATATTTCATTACTTTATACTCAATATTTTTCTTTTGTTGTGTTTTGGCACTTCTATTGTAAATCCGGATTGTGATGTTTATTTTTAAAATTTTGTTCTAATCTGAGTACAGATGCTTCATGAATTATGATGGGGTTACATATGGATAAATCCCATCATAAGTTGAGGAGTATACTGAATGCATATCACTTCCATACTATTGTCGAATCAAAAACTGGTAAGTCAAACCATTGTAAGTCAGGGAGAAAGTCAACAAGGGAGTTTAATCCATTTACATTTAGTATTATTACTGATTTGGGGAGTACTAATTTATAACATCTTATTTTGTGTTTTGCATTTATTATGCTTTTTAATTTTTTTCTATTTTTAATTGTATTGAGGCTTTTATTGTTTTTGTTTTTATTTTGCTTTTTATCTCTCCTTTTAACTTTGGAAGTTATACATTCAATGTCTATTCTTGTGGCAATTGCACTTAATTGCCTTTTACCATGTGTAGTTGATTTAATAATATCTGAAACAGTAAATATTCTAAACCTCTTATTGAACAACAATATTCTTATAATATTTTAATTGTAATCTACCACTGACATTTTATATTATTGTTGTTCAATATTTTACTTTCATCTTGTTTATAATGCCTTCAACATACTTGATTATTATTACAAGTAGTATTCCTGGATCTTAGGAATTATTCTTTCTTTAGATTCACTTACATTTTTACAATTCCTTTACATACCATTTTCTTCACATACTACTCCTTCCTTCTGAATTTAATTTCTTTTTAATAGAAGTGTGCCTTTTGATTTTTTTTGTTTTTTATTGAGTATTATCTCTAAAAGGTAAAATTTTTAGTGTTTCTTTGTCTTAATGTGTTTTCATTTTTGTTCCTTTAAAAATTGTAGCTTTGCTGGCTATAGAATTTTAATTTGACAGTTATTTTTACCAACTACTTGAAGTTATTATTTCAATGTCTTTTGGCTTCTATAAGTATAATTTCTTTTTTGGCCTTTTCAGTGGGTAATTCCCTCTGCTGCCTTTCCAGCTTGAGAGATTTTCTTCTAGAAATTCTACTTCATTAGTCATATTTTATCATGGTTTCTCTTTGTTACTTGCTTATTATATTAAGCACATTTTAAATTTTTTTCTTCAAATTATTTTTTTGTAGTGCTATTTTCTCATTTGTTACATCTGCTGACCCTCCCTGTTTGGCAGATATTTTTTTTTTCTTTCTTTTCTTGGAAAGTTTCATGTGCCTTGGGTTGAATATATTTTCCTATGTTGCAACTGCACAATTTTTGCCAAGATGTTAGAGGTTTTAATTTCTCAGTTTGGGATTCCAACACCACAGGGATAGCAGTTAGCCCTCCATAACCGTGCAAAGTATAAGGTTGGAAGTTTCATTTTTATGCATATTTTTTTTCTCAATCTGCCATGATGTCAGCACTGAGACTAAACTATTCTTTAAAAGAGAAAAGAAAGTTTAGGCATAATATTTTATTCAACTATATTAAGAAAAAATATCTGATCATTTGCTTCTGATTCCTTTTTTTTCTTGTTCTTCTTTACCCTTTTATTAATGTAAGCTATAAAAACAAACTGTAGTAGCATAATGAAACTTATCTATTGGTTTAGGATAATAGCATTGCACAGTCATGCACAACACATTCTCATTCCAGACCTGGTGAAAAATGAATGATAAATATCAATATAAATTATGTCCTATGGTTAGCAGAAATTAGGTGAGAGGGTTATAAGAAAAACACACACATACACAATTTGTCTTCAAATACAGTTTACTGTTTTTGTTTTTCTTATCATAACTTCATTGGTAATTAATTAAACTAAACAGCTTCTGCACAGCAAAAGAAACTATCAACAGAGTAAACAAATAACCCAAAGAATGAGAGAACATTTTTGCAAACTATGCATCCGACAAAGGTCTAATATTCAGCATCTTTAAAGAACTTAAACTGAGAAGAAAAAACCAAACAACTGCACAAAAAAAAGTGGGCAAAGGACATGAACAGACACTTTTCAAACAAAGACATACATGAAAAAAAAAACCTCAACATAAATGATCATTAGAGAAATGCAACTCAAAACCACAATGAGATACCATCTAACACCAGTCAGAATGGCTATTATTGGAAAGTAAAAAAATAACAGATGCTGGTGAGGTTGTGGAGAAAAAGATTCCTTTTTTTTTTAGATGGAGTCTTGCTGTGTCGCCAGGCTGGAGTGCAGTGGCACAGTCTCGGCTCACTGCAACCTCTGCCTCCTAGGTTCAAGTGATTCTCCTGCCTCAGCCTCCCAAGTAGCTGGGACTACAGGCGCCTGCCACCATGTCCAGCTAATTTTTTGTATTTTTAGTAGAGACAGGTTTCACCATGTTGGCCAGGATGGTCTCGATCTCTTGACCTCGTGATCCACCCTCCTTGGCCTCCCAAAGTGCTGGGATTACAGGCATGAACCACTGTGCCTGGCCTCTTTAAAAAAAAAAAAAAAAAAAAAATCAAGAATTCACCAGAAACAGGGACATACATCAGTCTTAACTACATCTACAAGCCAATAGGTAGAATTTTTAAAAATTTCTTTTCAGTGATTGGGTGAGCTTTTAAGGATATTGGCTTTATTAAATGATCTTCATCTCAGCTCTTCTCCCATGGTAACATTTCTTGTCTTTGCATTGTCATTAAAACTGCAATCCCACAGTTCTTATGATCATACCTGGCTTTAAAATGCATCTGGCATTTTTAATGAAACCGCTACCCTGGCTTCGAGTTCCCCCTTCATTCCTGTTTCTAGAGGTCTTACCTTCCTTTTCAGCTTGGCTGCATATTTAAACATAATTTTTAATATCATTAATCTAGCGTCTGGAATTTTATCACGTCTATAAGTTGTAGCTGGAGGGTGTGCCTACTGACCCAATCTGATGCAAGGTTAGCATTGAGGCTAAACTCTTATTTAAAGGGAAAAAAGTTTATGGAAAACATGAAAATATTGTATTAAATATATTTAATAAGCTTATTAAACATATTAAGAATACACAAGAATAAGTTATTAAACATATTCATAAAAAGTCTAGTTCTGATTCCATTAAACAAATCAACAATTCACCTTGCTTTGAATATTTGCTAAAATTGTTTGCTTTTGTTCACTGAGAACAACTATCCTCCTCAACTTCACTTGAGAGGCAAAAAATATTTACCGTTTTCGGGGGATACAAAGGACCTAATTGAGAGAAATTTGCTGTTACGTTACATTCTGCGCGAGAAGAAGGAAGAAATAAATATGTTATAATTTTATATTTGTTTTCTCATTTTAAAATTGCTATTTGAAATCCTCAGTAATATTTGCCTACAGGAACCATTTGAAGAATCAGTTTTCCAGCTGAAGCCAGTGATCCTAAATACATGCCTAGACTCAGGGTTGTGCCCATATGTTTGCTAGTCTAATTCCATAGGTAGTACAGTTCTAGCACATGGTAACTTCGAGAAATATGTCTTAAATAAATACCATTGCATGAATGGATGAATGTGCCCACAGCAATTCTCCAAGTATGATAGTATAAATTTGGCATATAAGCAAGTTATTGCCAGAGAATTGCTGCTTAAGAAACTGTCCCCACGGCCGGGCGCGGTGGCTCATGCCTGTAATCCCAGCACTTTGGGAAGCCGAGGCGGTTGGATCACGAGGTCAGGAGATTGAGACCATCCTGGCTAACACGGTGAAACCCCGTCTCAACTAAAAATACAAAAAATTAGCCGGCCTGGTGGCACGCGCCTGTAGTCCCAGCTACTCGGAAGGCTGAGGCAGGAGAATGGCATGAACCCCCGGAGGCGGAGCTTGCAGTGAGCCGCGATAGCGCCACTGCACTCCAGCCTGGGCGACAGAGCTAGACTCCGTCTCGAAAAAAAAAAAAATAAAGAAACTGTCCCCACAACTCAGTAGTACAAAGTTAATATTTATTTTTATGTTAGTGTGGTTTTGCTAATCTAGACAATCTAGACTATGTTCAGCTGGGCTCACTTGTGTATCTGTGTGTTGAGGATTAAAAAAAATCTAGGCTGGGCTCACTGAAGGCAGCTTGTATGGGCATTAAGTGTCTCTCTTGGAGCTTCAGTGACGAATTGGCTAGTCCATGCATTTCTTTTAAGGTCAATGGCGAGGCTAGGAAAGCAAGCCAATTGCTGGACTGTTAAGAGCCTCTTTGCCTCATGTTTGCTGACATCCCATTCGCTGAAACAAGTCACATGGTCAAGACCAATGTCAATGAAATGGGAAATATAACCCTCTTCTGAAAGTAAGGTGGAGGGAGAGAATATTTCTGAGCAATAATCCAAGCTATCTCACGTGGGAAGAGTTGAAAATATACTGAAGCCTGGTTCACCCAAAGTGCATTTTCTGTTTAAGGGGTCCCTACTCTTATAGACATCTGTTTGCAATTGCAGGAAGTTGTGAAACTCTCCTTTTACAAATTTGCACTATCTTCTCTTATTGTTATGAATGGCTACTCTTTTCTGAGTGCCTACCATGTACCAAGTGATTTATATATACTTTCAAATTCTTTAACATTCCAACAAATTAACTATTTTATTCATTGTCATTTTTCATGTTTTTTTTTAAAGTGGCTCAGAATACTCAGTAACTGGTATTAGCTAGTAAATGGTAGAATAGACATTCAAATTCAATTATCTTTGAAACCAAAATCCATATTTTTAATCCATGCCATAGCTTAACTTTTACAATCCTAAAAACTGCCTCAAAGGAATGAGTTCTGAACTCTGAATAATAATAAAACTAACATAAAGACAAGATTTGTTTTTTTAGAGGGCTTTGTATTCTTAGCTACCAAAGTAAGAATTTTGAAAGTGAAATATCTCTGACTTATTATTGGTTAGAATATAATCAATTACTGGCCTTTTCTATGGCTTGTTCAAAGTAATATCAATTTGTCATTTTACTTCCTTTTAGCAATATTGTCATCTTATTGAATATTTCTACTTGATTACATTTTTTTTCCTGGAACCTTGACTTTCACTTTTAAATACAAATCTATTTTGGTTCAAGATGTCCTGGAAACTCAGGCCTTCATATGTTTTCAGATGTCAAAAATACAGCTATAATTTTTAAAAGTAATTTTCTGACCATTAAAACATAACCTTGTAAGTTTTTAATATTTTCCTTGTTGAAAATGTCTGCAGTAAACAAATATTGCCTGACAGTTTACAACTCCAGGAAAAAATGAATGCAGAATTACCAGTGGGGGGATTATCTGTCTGTCTGTCTGCCTGCCTGTCCGTCCGTCTGTCTGTCTATCGATCTACCTACCTATCTGGATATTTACCAGTTTTTAAATGGGAAAATATTAACATTTAATTGTTAATGTTTGAATTGATGATGGAGTGTGAGTAGAGATGTGTGAACTGATGATTGAACAGAGAGGTGAGTATAGAGCAGTAATTCTAGCTATTTTGGTTCTGCTACCAGTTTTGCTTCCAACTAACTCTGCAGTCTTAGAAAAGCAATGTCATTCCTTCAGTGAACTATCAGTTTACAGCCTCCCCTGTGATCAAGCCATCCTGTCATTTGTTTTGAACTTGCTACTGGTTCCTTGCATTACTGTTTTTGATGTGGAAAAACTTTACATGGAAAGTTTATCTTTTCTTTAGGCAGAAGGAGATAGAAAGGTCTAAATCAACAACCTAATCTCACATGTAGAGGAACTAGAAAAATAAGAACACACTAAAGCCAAAGCTAGCATAAGAAAAGAAATAACTAAAATCAGAGCAGAACTAAATGAAACTGAGACCTCAAAAAAAAAACATACAAAAAATAAATGAAACATTTGTTATTTTAAAGGATAAACAAGATAGATAGACCGCTAGCTAGATTAACAAAGAAAAAGAGAGAAGATCTAAATAAGCACAATCAGAAATAACAATGGTGACATCACAGTGAATCCCACAGAAATACAAACGATTCTCGGAGACTACTATGAACATCTCTATGCACACAAGCTAGAAAATCTAGAGGAAATGGATAAATTCCTGGAAATACACAGAGGGAACTAGGTTGATGGATGGGAAAATTCTAATGAGGTTTTTCAAAGAGCCACGTGGATTGGGGGATTGTAGTGTCAGACATGAGGAATTTATTGATTTCAAATGTAGGTTTGTGAGAACACTTAGAGTGCAGAGTATCCCTAGCCCCTGTGAATCCTACTTTATAACAGCCATTCCCTCTTCTTTCTTGCTAACAGAATTCCAGTTTTGTTTGTTTAGCAATATTAATAATTCCAGGCTTTTGTCCCGCTCAGATCACTGCTCTCTGAGTGTGAGATGCTTGGAGGTGAAGCAGCTCTCTTTTTCCTGAAAGTGCAAGGCCCACAGTGGCATGGATGCTGGCCCAGCTTCCTGACTTCATTGAGCTCTTGAGCCAGTTCTGGAACCACTCACCTCCAGACTTCTTGTCATGTGAGGTAATCAAATGCTTTCCTTTATTTAAGCTTCTATCAGTTGGGCTTTCTGATATTTGCAGCTAAGTGCATCCTAAAACAAACTGTATGTGGGAAATCTTAATTTCATTGCTGAAGAAGTTTATGTGCACTCTTTCTGGCCTTTTGAAGACATCATTATTCTTTTCATTTAAGTTCACCTTCTTACTTGTTTGTGAATTGGTGTAGGCAGTGGAAAACAATTGATGAGCAGTTTTGACTCCCCTATTCACCTGGCTCTGGGTAGAGTGAAAGGTGCCATCATCGTATCATAGTCTTCTTATCAAATTATCATAATCATATCAAGAATTTCCAGAATGCATTGAGGACCTTGAATGAAATAATTTGGATAAGAATAAACTAATTTTTTATTTTTTATTTATTTTTTATCTTTTTTAATTATTTATTTATTGAGATGGAGTTTTGCTTTTGTTTCCCAGGCTGGAGTGCAATGGTGAGATCTTGGCTCCCTGCAACTTCCGCCTCCTGGTTTCAAACGATTCTCCTGCCTCAGCCTCTGGAGTAGCTGGGATTACAGGCTCCCACCATCACGCCGGCTAATTTTTTGTATTTTTAGGAAAGACGGGGTTTCACCATGTTGGCCAGGCTAGTCTCGAACTCCTGACCTCAGGTGATCCACCCTCCTCGGCCTCCCGAAGTGCTAGGATTACAGGTGTGAGCCATCATGCCCGGCTAAATTTTTATTTTTAAAATCTCAGTTGAAGATGAATTTATTCTGGATATCCTCTACAATTTATTTATCTATTTTTACTTTGGAGGATGTGTGATTCTTTTTTTCCCTACTATTTTTAAATATTTTAAGTAAAAATAATTGTTAAAATACACCCACAATACTCCAGAGCTGCAATTTCCAATCAACTGGGAGTGTAGGGAGAATGCAGTCAATACCAGTTTGCCCTTGAGGCAGTAAGCCTGCTCATTTAAATCTAAGTGAAACAAATCCTTCTCTTGAAGAAACCTGATTAGATATATGAGCAATTGTGTTTGTCTGACAGCCATCTTTTACAGTTGGCTCAATTTGCCAATCAGCAGGTGAGGTTTGTGGAAGAAGACTGTATCTGAAAACAGTGGGAACTGGAATGATCTTTGTATAACGACACTGTACTTACTGCTAGTGTGTTCTCTGTGCCTATATAAATGTTAATTTTTTTTTAAAACCATGGCTTGAATGACACTCAGGGTTATGTCTTGGCTTGGTTGTGTCACCCCATGCCACATTTTCGATGAAAATCCCCTGTAGGTTATATATGACAGTGATCAAGTAGTGACTCGGTCTTCCTCTCTCCAGGCAAGTTATCATAATTATACTCACCTTAACAAAAACTGTTTATCAATCCAAAGGTATTCCTTAAACCACAGGTTACAACATCGTCCTTGAAAAATTTCATCACATTTTCTGCATCTTGCATATTAAAAGCCTGAAATTTGAAGGCAGTGTTTACCTCAAAGTTGTTCCACCCTGTACCATTTAACAATCAGATATGAAAATAGTACAGTTTTGCAAATGTGCTTATATTTGATGGTTCATAAAGTTGATCATTAGATCTTTCTTTTTAAGTTGTGATTGGATCACCTACCAATATTCGGCATGAAATGGCTTCATAAAAGAGCTATCCAACTGGGCGCGGTGGCTCACGCCTGTAACATCAGCACTTTGGGAGGCTGAGGTGGGCAGATCACCTGAGGTCAGGAATTTGAGACCAGCCTGACCAACATGGTGAAACCCTGTCTCTACTAAAAACACAAAAATTAGCAGGGCATGGTGGTGGGTGCTTGTAATCCCAGCTACCCAGGAGGCTGAGGCAGGAGGCAGGAGAATCGCTTGAACCCAGGAGGGTGAGGTTGCAGTGAGCTGAGATCGCACCATTGCACTTCAGCCTGGGCGACAGATCGAGAATTCATCTCAAAAAAAAAAAAAAAAAAAAAAAAAATCTACCAGCTACTGCTTTTACCAAGGACCTCTCATCAGAGGTCCAATGCCAAGGATTTCAGCTCAGATCCTAAGCAGGAAATTATTCTTTCCATCACACAAGGTGTTAAGTTTCTTCCTGTTGCTGTAAGAAAGAATGCTGCTGGCAACTGGGAGGATGCAGGCTGGGCTGCATGCTCGGCCAATGAACTTGGGTTTAGACAGATGACCAGATAGCTCTGGCACCACAGGGCTGTACTTTAGACCTAGGAAGGCAGGTCCCAGCATTTTGCAAAGCACATTGGAGAAAATCAAAATTTATTGAAGAGAAGAAATCCTTTCTTGGTATCTGATTGATATAGGCTAAATACTTAATGACATTGCTTTGAACAAATGCATTAGCAAAGACTAAGGAATTTCTATAGTTAGAAATAAAGAGGCAAAAATTAGATATCCCAGTGTAAGCCAGTGTGAAATGCAAGAAGCAGTTTAGTACCCACAGAAGAGCATCTATATAGAACTAACACTAAGGGTCATCAACTATTCCTTGTGAGAATGAACAGGGAACTGTCATCAGAGCCCACCATATGTGCTTCATGTTCTGTGTATATACATTGTAGGTGAAGTGTAATTATCATTAAAGGATGTGGTTTCACTTTGTAGTTAGATGAATGGAATTGTGACTATGTAGTGTATGTTCCTGCATCTTATCATTTTTACATAGTGCTAAGTGAAAAGGCTACGGTTTAGATAATTATTTGTATTGCAGGTGATTTACTGGGGAATGACATATTAAATTTTAACAGAAGTTTTAAGACTTATTTTAAGTCTTATTTTATTTGCCTAAGCTACATTTCTAGTTGCCTGCTACTATGCAATGGCATATAACAGCTGAGAGAAGTCCATTCAGCTGGCCTTGAGAAATGGGTAAGATTTGGATGGGCAGTGATGGAGAGGGGGCAATTCAGCACTTGTGGGGGTGCACAGTGCAGGAGTCTCCATTATTCAGGGCAAAGCACTGAGCAAGGACATGGTGAGGGAAAAGGTGTATGACGAGGTGTATGTTATATGTTACACATATAATAGTAGCATTCCCTACTACTATGCAATGGCATATAACAGCACTATTTTACTTATGCAATTAAACTTCTCCCTACTCAGTATTACTATCCATTGATTAATGTACCATTTATTTTTACTGTCAATTCATTTAACAAACACTTTTTCAGGTCCAATTATGGGTCTGGAATTTGGTTGTATGCTGTACATCCAAAGGATTCTATGGTCCAGTGTGGAAATAAAAATTCACAAATAATTATGATTCAGAGTCATATATGCTCATTAACACATGAGCAGGGGCAGAGAGGCTTCTCAGAGGAAATGATAGTTAAACTTTACTCTGAGTGATGACCAGTTTTTAAGGGGGACAAGGCAGAGAAGGGGCATAAAGGGAGATGGAACAGTACTGGAGACACAAAAGGGGAGTTAGAAGTTGCTTATTCTGGCTGAGATGTTGGCTGCCTGTGGAGGAGATAACATTGGAAAAAGGTAGCTTACACCAGGCTCCTGAGATGTCAGTCGACTTGTAGGTGAGATTGTGAGATTTGGACTTTCTTTTGCAGGTGGAGAGTCCCTGAAGGCATTTGTACAGGGAAGAGATATATTTTGATTTGTGTTTTAGAAAGCTGTCTCTGAGGGCAGGATGCAGAATCAGATCTTTAGCAAGCAGACAAGTTCGTCCAGATAGGATGAGAACTTAAAGTAAGACCATGGAAATAAGGCTTTCCTAGCTGCCATTGTTAGCATATTAGGCTGCAAGTAATAAGTACTAAGCATTGGTCCTCCACTGGACCAAAGACTTTCTTAAATATGAGAACTGTATTTTATTCATCTTTGCGTGATCAATCATGTGTGATCCATGGCATGATGAAAAGAGTAAAGCATTTTTGAATCAGACAGGCTCAGGTTCAAATGCCACCTCTATAACTTAGTAGAATGTATGGTCTTAGCTAAGTCATTTTGCCTTCTTATCTATAAAATGGGGCTAATAATACTTTTGCAGAGTAAGGACATTATGTAAAATACAATATGCCCATATGTCATTCTTATTATGGCCGTAACTATGTTACACTCCACAAGTAAAGGAGAATATTAGGCTAGTACAAAAGTAATTGCTGTTTTTGCCATTAAAACTAATATTAGAGAATTTATAGGAAGGCCATTGCCCTTTGAATATACTTTGCTATTCACTAGAATGCTCTTGTGTCCAATTTTCTATACAGAAAATGCCTTTTCTCTCCATCTCCACTTGTCCAAAAGCTTCCTATCCCTCATGTTCTTTTTTTTCCCCACAGATTAATCTTTTAATTACATATTTCTTAAAAGCTGTCAGATTTCCATTTCCTTGGGAGATATTTTCACCAGTGTTTTGTTTGATTCCACAGGTTAGGCTTCTTTTTTTTTTATTACTATACTTTAAGTTTTAGGGTACATGTGCACAACGTGCAGGTTTGTTACATACGTATACATGTGCCATGTTGGTGTGCTGCACCCATTAACTTGTCATTTAGCATTAGGCATATCTCCTAATGCTATCCCTCCCCCCTCCCCCCCCACGCTCAACAGGCCCCAGTGTGTGATGTCTCCCTTCCTGTGTCCATGTGTTCTCATTGTTCAATTCCCACCTATGAGTGAGAACATGCGTTGTTTGGTTTGTTGTCCTTGCGATAGTTTGCTGAGAATGATGGTTTCCAGCTTCATCCATGTCCCTACAAAGGACATGAACTCATCATTTTTTATGGCTGCATAGTATTCCATGGTGTATATGTGCCACATTTTCTTAATCCAGTCTATCATTGTTGGACATTTGGGTTGGTTCCAAGTCTTTGCTCTTGTGAATAGTGCCGCAATAAACATACGTGTGCATGTGTCTTTATAGCAGCATGATATATAATCCTTTGGGTATATACCCAGTAATGGGATTGCTGGGTCAAATGGTATTTCTGTTCTAGATCCCTGAGGAATCACCACACCGACTTCCACAATGGTCGAACTAGCTTACAGTCCCACCAACAGTGTAAAAGTGTTCCTATTTCTCCACATCCTCTCCAGCACCTGTTGTTTCCTGATTTTTTAATGATCGCCATTCTAACTGGTGTGAGATGATATCTCATTGTGGTTATGATTTGCATTTCTCTGATGGCCAGTGATGATGAGCATTTTTTCATGTGTTTTTTGGCTGCATAAATGTCTTCTTTTAAGAAGTGTCTGTTCATATCCTTCGCCCACTTTTTGATGGGGTTGTTTTTTTCTTGTAAATTTGTTTGAGTTCATTGTAGATTCTGGATATTAGCCCTTTGTCAGATGAGTAGATTGCAAAAATTTTCTCCCATTCTGTAGGTTGCCTGTTCACTCTGATGGTGGTTTGTTTTGCTGTGCAGAAGCTCTTTAGTTTAATTAGATCCCATTTGTCAATTATGGCTTTTGTTGCCATTGCTTTTGGTGTTTTAGACATGAAGTCCTTGCCCATGCCTGTGTCCTGAATGGCATTGCCTAGGTTGTCTTCTAGGGTTTTTATGGTTTTAGGTCTAACATTTAAGTCTTTAATCCATCTTCAATTAATTTTTGTATAAGGTGTAATGAAGGGATCCAGTTTCAGCTTTCTACATATGGCTAGCCAGTTTTCCCAGCACCATTTATTAAATAGGGAATCCTTTCCCCATTGCTTGTTTTTGTCAGGTTTGTCAAAGATCAGATTGTTGTAGATATGCAGCATTATTTCTGAGGGCTCTGTTCTGTTCCATTGGTCTATATCTCTGTTTTGGTACCAGTACCATGCTGTTTTGATTACTGTAGCCTTGTAGTATCGTTTGAAGTCAGGTAGCATGATGCCTCCAGCTTTGTTCTTTTGGCTTAGGGTTGTCTTGGCAATGTGGGCTCCTTTTTGGTTCCATATGAACTTAAAAGTAGTTTTTTCCAATTCTGTGAAGAAAGTCATTGGTAGCTTGATGGGGATGGCATTGAATCTATGAATTACCTTGGGCAGTATGGCCATTTTCACGATATTGATTCTTCCTACCCATGAGCATGGAATGTTCTTCCATTTGTTTGTGTCCTCTTTTATTTCATTGAGCAGTGGTTTGTAGTTCTCCTTGAAGAGGTCCTTCACATCCCTTGTAAGTTGGATTCCTAGTTATTTTATTCTCTTTGAAGCAATTGCGAATGGGAGTTCACTCATGATTTGGCTCTCTGTTTGTCTGTTATTGGTGTATAGGAATGCTTGTGATTTTTGCACATTGATTTTGTATCCTGAGACTTTGCTGAAGTTGCTTATCAGCTTAAGGAGATTTTGGGCTGAGACGATGGGGTTTTCTAGATATACAATCATTTCATCTGCAAACAGGGACAATTTCACTTCCTCTTTTCCTAACTGAATACCCTTTATTTCCTTCTCCTGCCTGATTGCCCTGGCCAGAACTTCCAACACTATGTTGAATAGGAGTGGTGAGAGAGGGCATCCCTGTCTTGTGCCAGTTTTCAAAGTGAAAAGAGAGAAGAATCAAATAGACGTAATAAAAAATGACAAAGGGGATATCACCACCGATCCCACAGAAATACAAACTACCATCAGAGAATACTATAAACACCTCTATGCAAATAAACTAGAAAATCTAGAAGAAATGGATAAATTCCTTGACACATACACTCTCTCAAGACTAAACCAGGAAGAAGTTGAATCTCTGAATAGATCAATAACAGGCTCTGAAATTGAGGCAATAATTAACAGCTTACCAACCAAAAAAAGCCCAGGACCAGATGATTCACAGCCGAATTCTACCAGAGGTACAAAGAGCTGGTACCATTCCTTCTGAAACTATTCCAATCAATAGAAAAAGAGGGAATCCTTCCTAACTTATTTTATGAGGCCAGCATCATCCTGATACCAAAGCCTGGCAGAGACACAACAAAAAAAGAGAATTTTAGACCAATATCCTTGATGAACATTGATGCAAAAATCCTCAATAAAATGCTGGCAAACCGAATCCAGCAACACATCAAAAAGCTTATCCACCATGATCAAGTGGGCTTCATCCCTGGGATGCAAGGCTGGTTCAACATACGAAAATCAATAAACGTAGTCCAGCATATAAACAGAACCAAAGACAAAAACCACATGATTATCTCAATAGATGCAGAAAAGGCCTTTGACAAAATTCAACAGCCCTTCATGCTAAAAACTCTCAATAAATTAGGTATTGATGGGACGTATCTCAAAATAATAAGAGCTATTTATGACAAACCCACAGCCAATATCATACTGAATGGTTAAGCTTCTTAAGAACTTCATGCATATTAGAGAGATTGCCTTCATTGCTTTCTCGTCTTTTCAAAAAGACACAGGGAGACTTGCTAGACTAAAGCCGACATCTTTAAAGGCATGCAACAAGAATATCCCCACAATTATTGTAAAGAAGCCACTCAAAGTACCAATGATGTCATCAACAGGCATAACTTGCCACTCCTTAAAAAGGATAGCTGTACAAGTTAAAACTGATGTTGTAAAGATTGCATAATACATTGGAGTCATGATGAAAGTGTTGAATATATCCAGGGCCCTATTTAGGTAATTAAACTGTGTGCTCACACAGATGATGAGGCTCAGCAGCAGAACCCAGGCTAGGGAATGCTGCAGCACAGGCTTTCCAGCAAAAAGCTCCTTGCCTATCCCTCATTTTCAAATGCAAATGTCACCTCCACTTTAGTGGCTTTAGAGCTTTCTGCCTCCCTTAAGCCTCCGTGGCTTTCAGCAGCTCTTTCCTTATGGTGCTTCTCACTTCCTACCTAATACCAGAAAGATATTTGAGAACCAAACTTCTCTACTTCTGTAATGTTAAGAGGCTTTTCCAACTCTTTCCTTTTCATCTTCACTTGGCACCGAAAGTGGTATCATTCACATGGTAGACATTATGTCAATGTTAAATGAATGCAAAGTTAATTAATCATTTCTGGACAGAGACAGCAGGAAAAAGCTGCATGAGGGGAGTCCATTCAGCTGGCCTTGATAAATGGGTAAGATTTGGATGGGCAGTGATGGAGAGGGGGCAATTCAGCACTTGTGGGGGCGCACAGTGTGAGAGTCTCCATTTTTCAGGGCAAAGCACTGAGCAAGGACATGGTGAGGGAAAAGGTGTATGATGAGAGAAAAGGGGTCCTGTGGAGAAAACTGGGAGGAAAACTCTTTTGGTTGGTTGGGAAAAATGGGAAACAAATGTGAGGGTCTGGAATAAAGCTTGTAATCTATAGTCAAATTTAAATCTTGCAGGCATGTTCAGGACAGACTGTGTGGAAGGAGAAAAGATTGGAGGCCTATCTTTTGGTATACTATGTTTCTACAAAGTAACGTGGGCTGAGCCACATTAGTGTGATAAAAATAAAAATGAAAGGAAATGGGCTAGTGCTCGTGTGACATTTAATAGGAGCTGGTAGGTGATTGCTTGGGGAAGAGAAAAGGCTGGAGAAGTTGAAGTGAGGATGTTCGTGCCATTAGGAGAAATAGAAAATTTTCTGGAAGATATTTGTTCTGTGGAAGGTGATGATTTCTGTCTCCAATAGGTTGATTTTGAAGCCATCGTGGTAGAAATCAAAAAGGTGATGGGATCTTGGGAGAGAAATCAGTGCTCAGGTGGAAGTTTTGAAAATCTTTTGTATTGACATTATGGTTAAATGGCAGATAGTCTCAATTCATACACTTGACTCTCATGGTGGGTGTGCCTGGGAGTGGATTGCCAGTTGGTGGAATAAAGTGGGAGAAGCTTAAACCATTTGTGATTATTCTTGGATCTTGTTCAAGCCTTTCTATATTTCTTTAGCACCTATATGCTGAGGGTGTTAAACCCAGACTTATGCATCTTTATAAAGTCCACGTGAAATAAAAACAGGAAAAAAGTTTCTTTCAACTTGGATGGAATTAACAGGGCTACTGAGAGTCAGAAATTATCCTCAATTTCCTTAAACCTTAGCTTCCAGAACTTAGGTCTTCCACATTTGAGGAAGATGTATTACTTTTGGGGTATTAAACATTTATAATGTAACTCTCATTTTAAAAACAAATTCCCTTTCTCACTTTGGTTTTCTCCAGGAAAACACTCCTTAGGCATATTCATGGGTGAAGTTCTCTTAATAAGCAGTAGCTTCACCAGAAATTTGCCTGAGCAGTTCCCAACTCTAATGTTGAATAGTTAGTCCCTGCTGACTCTTATAAATCATGCCTTTAATGCATAAAACTGTTTTTGGTGGTTTTGTTTTAACATTGTACTCATACATGAAATAGTACTTGAAATAAAGTCTAATAATAAAGAATGTGAACTGGGAACTAATGCTTGACTTTTGAGCAAGTATTCTTTTTAATTAACAATTGAGAGAATGCTTAGTGATTTTAGTTTATCAACATTGAGGACAGTCATTAAAAGAAAAAATATGAAATATTGTTCACATTGTCCCAATTACGTTACTATGTCATTTTTTTCTGTTTTTGTTTTTTTGATTTCAAAAATTTTATTTTTTCTCTAAGAAATGCCCTAATCAAATCTTTTTCTAAGACAAAAATAATTTTTAGATATTACCAAACGCAAGTAAAATTCACATTCATTTTATTTTGTTGTAGAAAGATTTTTATTTGCTTATTTATTTTCTTCAAAGAATTTGAGGCAACTAGGTCAAATTTAAAGACTTCTTTTCTTTTCTCTCTCCCTTCTTCCTTTCTTTTTATTTTTTCTGAAGAGTTGGGAGTGTCTGGACTATCTATGTGAGAAGTAGGACCAGATGCTTTCGGAGTTGCTCATGTGCTCTGGGGGGAAGAGGAAAAGTTCTTCGTTTGAATAATTTGGTCCTTGCTCTTTTAATCAATTCAGCGCGTACTTGTGGGCTCGCTTGAGAACAGTTGATCATTTATTTTTATAAAACAGTGGTCTGTAGGAAGCATACAATACTTCCTCTTCCTTTTTAACACTTTAGGTCAAGAAGAACTATGGTTTGGTAAGGTCCTTGCCCTGGGAGTTAGTGACCTAGGTAGGTGTCAGTTCTGACCTAGACACATCTGAGACCCTGAGAAGATTCTCTTTCTCTGCTTCTGTAAGTTGAAGCGGTGGGATTCAATGATCTATGATCTTTTTTATTTTTACTTTTAAAGATTCTTTGAAGGTATAGTTTCCAGGATAGCTGGAACTTTTCAAAATGATTCTCCTTTTCTTTTTCTTTTTTAGATTAAAGCAACAGCTCAGAGCTCATTATGAGGAAAGAGGAAAGACCCTGGCTAGATATTCCCAGGGAAAGCAAGTTTCAGAGTGTACTCAGAAATCTGTATAGACAAAGCAGTTTGACCCATGTCATTGTAAACCTTGCTAAAATTTATTAGGAGAGGAAAATGATCAGCCAGGAAGATCCTTCTAGATTTATTTCTTAGTGCTTACATGAAAACATGCATTTTAAACTTAATATTAACATTCACAATCTAGATTTATACCTGGCAAAGAATATTGCCACAATTAGCTAGTTATTTCCATATTAGAGAGATGGAAAACTTTCTTCTCCTAGTGTTTGCTGTTTTTACAGATGCAGCTACTAGAAATTTGAAATGGGTCAAACTGCTTTTAACCTGGCTACCGTTACTCAATTTTATCAATTCTTCATTTTCTATTAGCAGAAAATCTGTTTCATGACTTCAATATATAAAAGAACACAAAGCAGCCTGAAGCAGATAAATATTGAACTACTCAAACACACATGCTGCTGAGAATTAGAATAACTTGTATTTTTGCTCTGGGACTAGACTGTTGAAGCTGTTCATGCCTAACTTACCTTTCTCAATCTATTTCACCTGCTTCCATTTTTTTTTTTTGTTTAGTAAACATCTGCTTTCTATTAGATTGTTTTATCCCCTTAACCTTCATAAATGACAATTAAGTCCATCTAGTCTGTCAATAGCATGTCATTTATTTGTTGCTACAGCTGAGCCTGACCTTCATTGATTTTATTGGAGTAATTTGCTGGAAATGATTTTTTAATGTTGGATTTATTGCCCAGGCACTTCATTGTCAGATAATTGAAGTAAATTGTATTTTTTTTTCAAACCAAAAGCAAGAAGTGCAGGAAAGAGATATATATATTATTTTGAATAATTATTTCCTATTGGGAAATATTACTATTGAGGTAGAGAGACATTAAATGTGATGTCATGGCCGGGCGCGGTGGCTCACGCCTGTAATCCCAGCACTTTGGGAGGCCGAGGCGGGCGGATCACGAGGTCAGGAGATCGAGACCATCCCGGCTAAAACGGTGAAACCCCGTCTCTACTAAAAATACAAAAAATTAGCCGGGCGTAGTGGCGGGCGCCTGTAGTCCCAGCTACTTGGGAGGCTGAGGCGGGAGAATGGCGTGAACCCGGGAGGCGGAGCTTGCAGTGAGCCGAGATCCCGCCACTGCACTCCAGCCTGGGCGACAGAGCGAGACTCCGTCTCAAAAAAAAAAAAAAAAAAAAAAAAAAAAAAAAAAAAAAAAAAATGTGATGTCATATACTTTTCAAGTTTGCAAACATAGATTGTTCTTGAGTCGTGCACACTTTTCTCCCTTTTTGGCTTTTCCTTAAGGATAGCTGAGGTAGAAATAGGAGTTGGTAATGAATTACATTCAAAAATGATGTTGCAAATTAGATTAGCTATATACCTAAATCTATCAAGTAGCTACACCACCACCTCTTACATAATGGGCCTTGCTATTGTGATTTAACTGCAGGTTAAATTATAAATATGCTGATGTTACATAGTTAATCTTAGCTTTTACAAGGTATTATCTTATTCCCTCAGTATCAGTGTTAACAAGGCTTTTTTATGTTGTGCGTTTGGTTCTCCAAAAATTTTGATTGTCTGCCCAGATGATAATTAGTATTTCAGTCCCTAAATGACACTGTCTTGGTATTTGTTTATTCCAGTGGTGTTGTACTATATTTATACAGCAGAGGAGATACTGAGCGAAGTAGTTTACATTTGGAAAAGTATTGTGAATATATGACTTGTTCCTTGCTGTGCTGTTGTGTCCTGGTGTTAGCAGGGACACGTCAGGAAAGGTCTGCCAGCAAAGCTGCTGTTCTTGTTACTCAGAAAATGGACTTGGTTTGACATAAAGGAGATCAACCTTTGAACTCCACTTTAGATACTGGCAAATGAAACATGCCACTATTCACACTCTAAATGATCATGCATTTCTGAGTAGGAAGTTTCCCAACATATTGAAACTAGTTAAGGAAAAGTGGACAGAACTTGAGTCTTATTGTTTAAATGAACTTGTTGGTTTTTTTTTCCTCCCTTGTGAGCAGAATCAAAGAAAGCCATCATGTAATCAAAGACAGGAAGAACACTGGATCAAAATTCTCTAGAAATCTGTTCTAATGGCTGCAATTTCTCCATGCATTCATAATTGTTTTGAAGTCAAAAAAAGAGAAAACTATAATTTTTAAGGGTTTAAAAAATATTTTATATAGTTAAAAGATTTTTGGAAATAATACCCTATTGTCAGTTTATAAGCTAAAACTATAACAACATGAATGGATATTGGTGACGCAATGGTTCTCACTCATGTTGCCGATGACTTCCTCTCCTGTCATATTCATTAATGTGAACTTAGTATCAGTTTTAATGAAGAACAGATAGATTATCACATCCCCAGGTTTTTTAAAATTCAAACTTGCTGCATCTGGAAAGGCAGCTATACATAGGCTTAGGAATGATTGTTCCAAAGAATATTCCTGGAATAAAGTTCAGTAAAAGTAGAATCTGCTTTCAAATTAGGAGTCTGACATAATAATTTTGGAGTAAAGACAGTCAGCAGCCAACAATGTCCTTCTCAATAGGTTGGACCCGGAGATTCAATTTTAATTTGAGCAGAAATTGTGGGGGAAAGAGGGCTGCAAAGACTTGAGGGAAAAACTTCTTGCTTTTAAATTGTCACATCTCTTTTCTGTCTCTGTTCCTGTCACTGTTATTGATATAAAGAATCCATCAATATATTTTTATGGGTGATTAAGAAAGGCTGACCTTTCTTTTGCAGGTGCAAATAGGTAGTTCTTCAGAGGCTGTAACTGAATGACAAGATAATTCTATCCATTTAATATTGAAGTGATGTTGATAGTATCATTCTTCTCGAGTTGGAAACAGGACAGTGTAGAGGCCTTTTCTGCCTCAGCCTGTTCTGCCCTGGGTGATGGATTTTTCCTCTGACTAATCGCTGTCACATTAACCCGCACTATTTCATCCTTCAGAGCTGTCAAGATAATGACGATAATCCAAGTGGCTCATTGTAGGTAAAGGAAATTATATGAGCAAAGTAATATCATAAAACAGTGTTTAAATATTTTAATTTCATTTGTCAGGGCTGCCCCAACACTTCATTACACATATAACCATCTCTCATCAGTGGAATTAGTGCATTATTCATTACTGTTAATTATTTTCACATAATGGCTGCCCTGATATATTTAACCTCCACATTATATCTCAGATAATGGGTCTGTAAAATTGAATTGTGTGAAGAGTGGAGTTCTAAAGCTCATTTGCAGAACATCAAAGAACAAAGAAGAGGAAAAGAATTCTAAATGGGACATTTTGCCCAGCTGGGGCCAAACATTTGTTTCTGTCTGATTTGCATACAGAAAATAGGTAGTGTAGAAGTGGCTTAACACTATATAGGCTGTCTGCTCCTATTACTCAACCAATTAGGATTTGTTAATATCACACACATCAGAAGCAACTTGAGAATTATAATATGGAAAATGAAATAGTTCAGAGAATACATAATATATACAAAATGTAATTTCCTTTTTGAGACAATTGTAATGGGCAAAAAAGAAAGAGAGATGAGGAAAGGATACTATCAAATTTTAGATTAATTATTTTTATGAATAACTTTAATAATAAACACTAAGTTTTGAAAAGTCATAAAACCTAAGAATAACCATAGAAGTCCATTTAGCTTTTAGTGACTCATTCTTATCATGGCTAGTACAAAATTTGCCACTTGTATTTATGATGATACTTTCTCAGTAACTTAAAGCCTTTCAACACTCATGCAAACAAAGCATCACTTTAGAATTACCAGCATCCTATGCATACAGGCCAGGTTTTTGCAATTTAATGCTTCATGATTTTGAATTACTATTCTTTTGTAGGGCATTTGACAAGCTTAATGATCCGATTAGCAATGTCTAAATGTACCTGTATCCAGGTGTATTTTCTTTACAGTTTTCAGTGTAATTAAGTGAACCAAAAACCAACTGAAATTGGTAGAATCTGAGTCAGAATCTCCTGAGGGTGAGACTTAGACATGCATATATTTTGAAAGCGCTGCAAGAAATTCTGAGGGACTTCCTATGTGCAGACTCTTGGTTTTAGAGGTTAGCGGAGTGTGAAGCTCATCGCAGGCTTGTAGCCTCCCTTTATTGTTTTTGAATGACTCCCTAATCTTTGTATTTTTAAAAATCTTTTCCTTTAAAAAATTTTTTAAAATTATTTCATGTTTGTGGGTACATAGTAGGTGTATATATTTATGAGGTACATGAAATATTTTAATACAGGCATGCAATGTGTAATAATCACATCACGGAGAATGGGGTATCCATTCCCTCAAGCATGTATCCTCTGGGTTACAAACAACTTTTGTATTTTTAAAACATGTTTTAAATAATAAATTTCATTATCCATTTTTGAGGTTTATAATACGATATTGGATACATATAGGTAGTAAAATGTTCACTATAGTGAAACAAAATAACATACCTCTCATCTCATATAGTTTTTTTTGACAAGAGCAGCTAAAATCTACTTATTTAACAAAAATTATTAATCCAATACAATTTTATATTATTATTAATAACTACAGTCTTCATGTTGTATGTTAGATGGTTAGACTTGTTCATCTTACATATCTGCTACTTCATATACTTTGACTTACATCCCCATCTCTGCTCCCCAACCTCCTAGCCCTGATTACCACTGTTTTATTCTCTATACATTTGATGTTTTTGTTTATTTGCTTGTTTCCACTGATAAGTGAGATCATGCAATACTTTTCTTCCTTGCCTGGCTTATTTCTTTTATTTATTTATTTATTTATTTATTATTATACTTTAAGTTTTAGGGTACATGTGCACAAATGTGCAGGTTAGTTACATATGTATACATGTGCCATACTGGTGCGCTGCACCCACTAACTCGTCATCTAGCATTAGGTATATCTCCCAATGCTATCCCTCCTCCCTCCCCCCACCCCACAACAGGCCCCAGAGTGTGATGTTCCCCTTCCTGTGTCCATGTGTTCTCATTGTTCAATTCCCACCTATGAGTGAGAATATACGGAGTACACCTATTTTGGCTGTGAGATGGCTTTTATTACATTGAGGTATGTCCCTCGTGTGCTGATTTTGCTGAGAGTTTTAATCATAAAGGGATGCTGAATTTTGTTGAATGCTTTTTCTGTGTCTATTGAGATGATCATGTAATTTTTGTTTTTAATTCTGTTTATGTGGTGTATCACATTTATTGACTTGCATATGTTAAACCATTCCTGCATCCCTGGTTTGAAACCCACTTGATCATGGTGGATTGTATTTTGGATACGTTATTGGATTTGATTGGCTAGTATTTTGTTAAGAATTTTTGCATCTATATTCATTAGCGATATTGGTCTTTTATTTATATATTTATTTATTTATTTTGGTTATGTACTTTCCTGGAGGGTGATACTGGCTTCATTGGATAATTTAGGAAGGATCTCCTCTTTCTGTATCTTGTAGAATAGTGTGAGTAGGATTGGTACCAATTCTTCTTTGAATATCTGGTAGAATTCAGCTGTGAATCCATCTGGTCCTGGACTTTTTTTCATTGGTAATTTTTAAATTACCATTTCAATCTCACTGCTTGTTATTGGTCTACTCATGGTATCTAATTCTTCCTGATTTAAGCTAGCAGGGTTGTATCTTCCGGAGTTTAGTAATCTCTAGGTTTTCTAGCTTATGCATGTAAAGGTGTTCATAGTAGCCTTGAATAATCTTTTGTATTTCTGTGGTATCAGTTGTAATATCTCCCATTTTATTTCTAATTGAGCTTGTCTGGATTTTCTCTCTTCTTTTGTTGGTTAATCTTGCTAATGGTCTATCAATTTTATGTATCTTTTCAAAGAATCAGCTTTTTGTTTCCTTTATCTTGTATTTTTTGTTTCAATTTCATTTAGTCCTGTTCTAATCTTGGTTATTACTTTCTTCTGCTGGATTTGGGTTTGGTTTGTTCTTGTTTCTCTAGTTTCTTCCGGTGTGACCTTAGGTTGTCTGTTTGTGCTGTTTCAGTCTTTTGATGTAGGCATTTGGGGCTATGAACTTTCATTTTAGCATCACCTCTGCCGTATCTCAGAAATTTTGATACGTTGTGCCACTATTGTCATTCAGTTCAAAGAATTTTTTAATTTTCATCTTGATTTCGTTACTGACCCAGTGATCATTCAGGAGCAGGTTATTTAATTTCCATGTATTTGCTGGTTTAGAAGGTTCTTTTGGAGTTGATTTCCAGTTTTATTCTGCTGTAGTCTAAGAGAGTGCTTGATATAATTTCAATTTTCTTAAATATATTGAGGCTTATTTGTGGCCTATCATATGGCCTATTCTTGGAGAAAGTTCCATGCACTGTTGAATAGAATGTATATTCTGTGGTTGTTGAGTAGTATGTTCTGTAAATATCTGTTAAGTCTATTTGTTCTAGGGTGTAGTTTAAATCCATTGTTTCTTTGTTGACTTTCTATCTTGATGAAATGTCTAGTGCTGTCAGTGGAGTATTGAAGTCTCCCATTATTATTTTGCTGCTGTCTATCTCATTTATTAGGTCTATTAGTAATTGTTTTATAAATTTGGGAGCTCCAGTGTTACGTGCATATATATTCAGGATTGTGATATTTTCCCATTGGACAAGGACTTTTATCATTATATAATGTCCCTCTTTGCCTTTTTTAACTGCTGTTGCTTTAAAGTTTGTTTTGTCTAAGAATAGCTATTCCTGCTCGCTTTCGGTGTTCATCTGCATGGAATGTCTTTTTCCACCTGGCCTTAAGTTTATGTGAGTCCTTATGTGTTAGGTGAGTCTTTCGAAGGCAGCAGATAGTTGGTTGGTGAATTCTTATTCATTCTGTGATTTTGTATCTTTTAAGTGGAGCATTTAGACCATTTACATTCAACGTTAGTATTGAAATGTGAGGTACTATTCCATTCATCATGCTCTTTGTTGCCTGTATACCTTTTTTTTTAACTTGTATTTTTGTTTTATAGGTCCTGTGAGATTTATGCTTTAAAGAGGCTCTGTTTTGATGTATTTATAGGATTTGTTTCAAGATTTAGAACTCCTTTTAGCAGTTCTCGCAGTGCTGGCTTGGTAGTGGTGAACTCTGTCAGTATTTGTTTGTCTGTAAAAGATTGTATCTTTCCTTCATTTATGAAGCTTAGTTTCACTGGATACAAAATTCTTGCCTGATAATGGTTTTGTTTGAGGAGGCTGAAGATAGGGCCCCAATTCCTTCTAGCTTATAAAGTTTCTGCTGAGAAATCTGCTGTTAATCTAATAGGTCTTCCTTTATAGGTTACCTGGTGCTTTTGCCTCATAGCTCTTAAGATTCTTTCCTTTGTCTTAACTTTAGATAACATAATGACAGTGTGCCTAAGCGACAATCTTTTTGCAATGAATTTCCCAGGTGTTCTTTGAGCTTCTTGTATTTGGATGTCTAGTTTTCTAGCAAGGCCGGGTAAGTTTTCCTCAATTATTCCCCAAATATGTCTTCCAAACTTAGATTTCTCTTCTTCCTCAGAAACACTGATTATTCTTAGGTTTGGTAGTTTAACATAATCCCAGACTTCTTGGAGGCTTTGTTTATATTTTCTTATTCTTTTTTCTTTGTCTTTGTTGGATTGGGTTAATTCAAAAATCTTGTCTTCAAGCTCTGCAATTCTTTCTTCTGCTTGTTTGATTCTGTTGGTGGGACTTTCCAGAGCATTTTGCATTTCTATAAGTTCATCCATTGTTTCCTGAAGTTTTGATTTTTTTTTATTTATGTTATCTATTTCACTGAAGGTTTCACTCCTCATTTCTTGTATCATTTTTAATTTCCTTAAATTTCCTTTCTCTAGTGCTTCTCCAATAACTGACCTTCTGAATTCTTTTTCAGGTAAATCAGGTATTTCTTTTTGGCTTGGATCAATTTCTGCTGAGCTAGTGTGATTTTTTTTTTTTTTTTGGAGTGTTAAAGAACCTTGTTTTTTCACATTACCAGAGTTGGTTTTCTGGTTCCTTTTCATTTGGGTAGGCTCTGTCAGAGGGATGTTCTAGGGCTCAAGGCTGTTGTTCAGATCCTTTTGTCCCACAGGTTGTTCCCTTGATATAGTACTCTTCCCCTTTTACTAGGGATGTGGCTTCCTGAGAGCCGAGCTGTAGTGTTTGTTATCTCTTTTCAGAATCTAGCCACCTATCAGGTCTGCCAGGCTTCAGGCTGTACTGGGGGTTGTCTGCACACAGTCCTGTGATGTGAACCGTCTATGGATCTCTTAGCCATGGATACCAGCATCTGCTCCAGTGGAGGTGGCAGGAGGGTGAAATGGACTCTATGAGGGTCCTTAGTTTTGGTTTAGTGCATTATTTTTGTGCTGGTTGGCCTCATGCCAGGAGGTGGCGCTTTCAGCAGAGCATCAGCTGTGGTAGTATGGGTAGAATCAGGTGGTGGGCTGTGCCCTAGAACTCCCAAGAGTGTATGTCCTTTGTCTTCAGCTACCAGGGATGGTAGGGAAGGACCATCAGGTGGGGGCAGGGCTTAGGCATGTCTGAGCTCAGTCTTGCCTTGGGCGGGTCTTCCTGTGGCTGCTCTGGCAGATGCGGGTGTGGTTCTGAGGTCAATGGAGTTATGTTCCTAGGAGGATTATGGCTGCCTCTCCTGTGTCATGCAGGTGTCAGGGAAGTGGGGGAAAGTCGGCAGTTACAGGCCTCACCCAGCTTCCACAAAACCCAGAAGGCAGTTATCACTCTCACCATGCCCCCCACAACAGGACTGAGTCTGTTTCCAGGCAGTGGGTGAGCAGGGCTGAGAACTTGCCCCAGGCTACCAGCCTCCCAGCTGCAAAAGCAAGTGGGGCTTTTGTGCTTCCCGACCTGTGGAGTCTGCACACAAGATTTATGCCTTCCCCTGAGTTCTGGCCAGGAGACTTCTCATTCAGTTGGAATTGTTACAAAGTTCAGCTGGAAGTTTTCTTCTCTCTTTGCCCTTTTCCCAGTTCCACTGACAGCCCTCTCCAGGTAGCCCTATGAGACAAGTCAGAAATGGCTTCCCTGGGAACCCAGAGATCCCAAAGGGCTTTTCCCACCACTTCCTCTATTCCTGTATTTCACTCAGCTCTCTAAATTGACTCAGCTCCAGGTAAGGTCAGAATCTTCTCCCATGATCTAGACCTTCAAGTTCCCAAGTGAGGGTGTGTGTTTGGGGGCAGACAGTCCCCCTTTCCCACTTCCACAGTTTGGGCACTCACAGTATTTGGTGTGTCTCCCAAGTCCTGCAGGAGCAATCTCGTCTGTGGGTTCTCTTGGCTTTCCTGAATTGTTCCTGCAGTAGTTCTGGAGCAAAAATTCATGATGCGAGACTCCACATGCTACTCTGTCCATCTGAGTGGGAGCTGAAATCTAGTCCTGCCTCCCATCCACCATGATCCTCCTTTGTCTATTTTTTAATTGAGTTATTTGTTTTTCTGCTATTGAGTTATAAGTGTTCTTCATAAATTTTGGATATTAACCCCTCATTAGATATGTGGTTTGCAAATATTTTTTCCAATTCATAGGTTGCCTTTTCATTTTGATGATTGTTTCCTTTGTTATGCAGAAGTGTTTTAGTTTGATGTAGTCCCATTCATTTATTTTTTTCTTTTGTAGCCTAAGCTCTTGTTGTGATAGCCAAAGAATTATTGTCAAGTCCAATGTTAAGGAATTCTCCCTCTGTTCCCTACTAGGAATTTTTTGGTTTCAGGTCTTACATTTAGGTCTTTTACCCATTTTGAGTTGATTTTTGTTTATAAGGTATGATGAGGGACTAATTTTATTCTTTTGAATGCAGAAAAAGAATTTTTTCCCAAACCATAGTTATGAAAGTATCCGTTCTCCATTGTGTCCTACTGGTGCTCTTGTCAAAAATTAGTTGACTGTGTATGTTTGGACTTATTTTGGGGCTCTCTGTTCTGTTCCATTCATCCATGTTTCTATTTTTATGCCAGCATCAAACTCTTTTGATTATTATAGCTTTGTAGTATAATTTTAAATCAGGAAGTGTGATGCCTTCAATTTTATCTTTCTCAGTATCAACTTCAGCTATTCCAGATTTTTTGTGATTCCATACACAGTTTAGGATTTTTTTTCTATTTCTGTGAAAAATGCATTACAGTTTTTAGTGGTAAAGGGTCATGGTTTACAATTTTTTAAGTTTAATTTTTAAATTGACAAATAATAATTGTGTATATTTGTGGGGAATAATGTGATGTTTTGATCTATATATACATTATAGAAACATTCAATCAAACAAATTAACGTATACATCATCTCACCAACTTATTTTTGTGGTGAGAATATTAAAAATCTAGTCTTTTAATTATTTTGAAATATGTAATATGTTACTATTAAGCATGGTCACCATGCAGTGCAAAGATCCCCAAAATTTATTCCTCTAGTGTAACTGAAGCTTTGTCCCCTTTGATCAAGATCATCCCTTTGCCTCTCCTTTTGCCTCTGGTAACTACCTTCTACTCTCTGTTTCTATGAGGGCAACTGTTTTAGATTCCACATGTAAGCGGCTAATACAATATTTGTCTTTCTGTACCTGGCTTATTTTACTTAGCGTAATGTTTGCTGTATTCATCCCTGTTGTGAATGACAGAATTTCCTTTTTTTTTTTTTTAAGGCTGTGTAGTATCCCAAACACTGTATGTACATATATAGTATCCCAAACACTATATACACATACGTAAAATCTTTTTTATCCATTCGTTTCTGAACACTTAGATTGCTTCCATAGCTCTGCTACTGTGAATAATGCTGAAATGAACACGGGAGTGCAGATATCCCTTTTAAATACTGATTTTAATTTCTTTGGATATATACCAAGAAGTGGAATTGCTATATCACCTGGTAGTTCTATTTTTTTTTTTTTTGAGGAACTTTCATGCTGTTTTCCATAATGGTTATACTAATTTACATTTCCACCAACAGTGTACAGGGTTCCCTTTTTTCCACATTCTTGTCAGCACTTGTTATTATTCTTTTTTTTTATAACAGCCATTCTAACAGGTATGAGGTGACATCTCATTGTGGTTTTAATTTACATTTCCCTGGTGATTAGAGATGTTGAGCATTTTTTCATGTATCTGTTGTCTATTTGTATTTCTTCTTTTGAGAAACGTCTGTTCAGATTCTTTGCCCATTTTTAAATTAGGTTGTTTTCTTCCTGTTGAGTTGTTTGAGTTATTTATTTTGGATATGCCAGATATATGGTTTGCAAATATTTTCTCTCCTTTTGTGAGCTATCTCTTCATTTTATTGTTTTCTTTGTGGTACAGAAGCTTTTCAGTTTGATATAATTAGATTTGGCTATTTTGCTTTTGTTGCCTGTGCTTTTGCAATCCTATTCAAGAAGTCATTGCCGAGACCAATGTTGGGGAGAATTTCCCCTATGTTTTGTTTTAGTAGCTGTAGTCTTAAGTCTTATATTTAAGTCTTTTATCCATTTTGAGTTGAGTTTTGTATATAGTGTTAGGTAAGGGTCTGGTTTTATTCTGCTTGTGGATGTCCAGTTTTCCCAACATTATTTATCGAAGAGACTGTCTTTTACCTGTTGTGTACTCTTGGCATAGTTTTTCAAAAAATCAATTGACTGTAAACAGTTGTGTTTAGTTTCCTGCTTTCTCTACTGTTTTTTTGGTTGATGTGTGTGTTCTTATGCCAGTATCATGCTGTTTTGATTGCAATATATTTATAATCTATTTTAAATCCAGGTAGCATGATGCTTCCAGCTTTGTTCTTTTTGCTCAGGATTACTTTTGGTATTAAAGGTCTCTTCTTGTTCCATATTACTTTTAGGATTTATTTTTCTATTTCTGTGAAAAATGCCATTGGAATTTTGATTGGAATTGTATTGAATTTTTAGATTGCTTTAGGTAATATGAACATTTTAACAATATTAATTCTTTCAGTCCATAAACATGGAATATCTTTTTAGTTTTTGTGTTTTTCAATTTTTTCCACTAATGTTTTATAGCTTTCAGTGTACAGATCTTTCAACTCCTTGGTTAACTTTACTCCCAGTATTTTATTTTATTTTATTTTTGATGGTATTGTAAATGAGATTGTTTTCTTAATTTTTTTTTGGATTGTTCATTGTTGGTGTATAGAAATGTTACTGATTTTTGTATGTTGTTTTTATAACCTACAACTGTATTGAATTTATCTATCAATCTTAACTTTTTTGGGGGATGGAGTTTTTAGAATTTTCTGTGTATAAGATGATGTCATCAGCATCAAAGACAATTTTGCTTTTTTCATTTCCTACATGGATGTCTTTTTTTTTTTTCTTGCCTAATTCCTCTGGCTGGTACTTTCAGTACTGTGTTGAATAAATGTGGCAAGAGTGGGCATCCCTACCTTGTAGTGGGTCTTAGCAGAAAAGCTTTCAGTTATTTCCCATTTATTTGGATTTAAGCTGTATTTCAAAAATGAACTTTATTATGTTGAGAAATTTTCCTTCTATACCTAAACTGTTAAAAGTTTTTTATCAAGAAAGGATACTGAACTTTGTCAAATGCTTTTTCTGTCAGTTGAGATGATCCTATGAATTTTATGTTATTCTGTTAATGTGACATATCACATTGATTGATCTGCATATGTTAAACCAGACTTGCACACCTGGGATAAATCTCAGTTGGTCATGATGTATATTATTTTTGATGTATTATTAAATTTGGTTTCATAGTATTTCATTGAGGATTTTTGCACCAAGTTTCATCAGACGTATTAGCCTGTAGTTTTCTCTTTTTGCAGTGTCTTAGTCTGGCTTTGGTGTTATCAAGGTGATCTTGGCCTTGTAAAACATGTTTGTATATGTTTCCTCTAGCTCTATTTCTTAAGTAAAAGTTTAATAAAGTATTGGTAATACTTCTTTTTAAATGTTTGGTAGAATTCAGCTATGAAGCCATCTAATATTGGGCTTTTCTTCTTTGGAAGATTTCTAATTACTACTTCAGTGTCTTTATTTTTTTTATTGGCCTGTTCAAGCTTTCTGTTTCTTCCTGATTCAATCTTGGTAGGCTATATTTTTCTAGCAATTTATTCATTTTTTTTAGATCATTCATCTTTTTGCCATATGATTGTTTATAACAGTCTCTTATGATCTGTTTAATTTCTGAGACATCTCTGTTGTAATATCTTTACTTTTACTTCTGATTTCATTTATTTGAGTCTTTATTGCATTGTATTTAGTCTAGCTGGAGGTTTGTCAATTTTGTTTATGTTTTAAAAAATAATCCTGCTTTTATTATGTTTTCTATTTTTCTTTATTTGATTTATTTCTGTTCTGATTTTTATTATTTTATTCCTTCTGCTACTCTGAGTTTAGTTTGTTCTTTTTTTATTTTAAAATCTCCTTGAGGCATAATTGTAGGCTATTTACTTGGAAACATTCTTCTTTTTTAAGGTAGGCATTTATTGCTGTAAACTTCCTGTTTAGAACTGCTTTTGCTACATCCCATAGGTTTTGTTAAGTTGTGATTCCATTGTTATATGTCTCAAGATATTTTTAAATTTCCCTTTTGATTTATTCCTTGACCAATTGATTGTTCAGGAGCATATTTGATTTCCACATATTTGTAAATTTTCTAAGATTCCTCCTGTGGTTATTGATTTCTAGTTTTATATCATTGTGATGAGAAACAATACCAGATGTTATTTGAATCTTTTTGAATTTTTTAAGACTAGTCTTATGATCTAACATATGGTATATCCTGGGGAATGTTCCATCTGAGCCAGAGAAGAATGTAAATCCTATTGCTATCGGATGGCAAGTTCTATATATGTCCGTTAGGTTTATTTGGTGTAAAATGCAGTTGATGTAAATATTTTGTTGTTAACTTTCTGTCTGGTTGATCTATCCATTTTTGAAAGTGGGGAAGTTTCATACTACAATTGTATTTGCTATCTATCTCTCCTCTCATGTTCATTAATGTTTCTTTTTCCTTTTTATATTTAGGTTCTGATGTTGGATGCATATATATTTACAATTGTTATGTCCTATTGATAAGTTGACCCCTTTATCATTAAATAATGACCTTCTTTGTCTCTTTTTGCCAATTTTTGACTTAGTCTATTTTACCTGATGTAAGTATAACTACTCTTGCTCTTTTGTTACTGTTTACATGGAGTATCTTCTTCTATCCCTTCACTTTCAGCCTATGTGTGTCCTTAAAGCTAAGCTAGATCTCTTGTAGGCAGCATATAGTTGGATATTATTATTTTTTCTTTAATTTTTCAACTCTTTCTTTTATTTTTCAACTCTTGGCAGAATTGGTTATTAACATTAAAGCATAGTTTTTGTTAGTTTAACACTGTCTATAGAAAATGGCATCTCACTGTTTTCACATGTATTCTTTTTTTCTTACTATCCTGGTCACTTTATGTGTTTTGGTTGCAGAGTTTAATCCATTTCCATTTAAGGTTATTATTTATAAGTAAGAATTTAGTCCCGCCATTTTGTTGTTTTCTAGTTGTTTTGTAAATCTTTTTGTTCCTTTCTTTCTTTGTTGTGTACATTTTGTGTTTGGTGTTTTGCTATAGTGCTAAGCTTTTATTTCTTTCTCTTTCTTGTTCATGTATCCATTGTGGCTTTTTTCTTTGTGATTACCATAAGGCATACATGATGCTTAGTTTTGAACAACAACAATAAGTGCTGCCTGATGGCAGCAGCTATGTATTCTTGGCTTCCTTTACTGCTATCATGAAGGGCAATGTAGAAAGTCACTCAATAACTGCTTGTTAAATCTACTTTGCCTTTGTCAGGTATTCACTGCTATAATTATACCGGAATTAATTTCAAATCTATACATTTTCTTTCTTTTGTATTAAAAAAATTTTTTTGAGACAGGGTCGTGCCCTGTCATCCAGGCTGGAGTACAGTGGTGTGATCATAGTTCACTGCAGCCTCAACCTCCCAAGCTCAAGAAAATCTCCCACCTCAGCCTCCCAAGTAGCTGGGACACAGGCACACACTACCAGGCCCAACTAATTTTCTATTTTAGTTTTAGTAGAGATGGGGTCTCTTATGTTGCCCATGCTGGTCTCAAACTCCTGGGCTTAAGTGATCCTCCTGCCTTGGCCTCCCAAAGTGCTGGGATTACAGTCATGAGCCACTATGCCCAGCCTGGATTTTTTTTTGTTTTGTTTTTTAGATCAAGTTCCATGAGTGGGATTTACCATTTTTATGGCTCTTGGTACATTTTGTTAAGTAGATTTCTAAGAGTTGCATTAATACTATGATAACAATGTATAAATATAATACTTTTGTTGCACTCTTGGCAGAATTGGCTATTAACATTAAAGCATAGTTTTTGTTAGTTTAACACTGTCTATAGAAAATGGCATCTCACTGTTTTAACGTGTATTCTTTTTTTCTTACTATCCTGGTTTAACACTTCCCTTTTTTATTTACAATTTGTTTTCTGTGAATCATCTCTTAGTTATCTAAGACTTTTGGCTATTTATCTAATGATTTCTTAGTTTTTTTTTTTTTTTTTTTTTTTTTTTTTTTTTTTTGAGATGGAGTCTCACTCTGTCACCCAGGCTGGAGTGCAGTGGCGCCATCTCGGCTCACTGCAAGCTCTGCCTCCCGGGTTCACGCCATTCTGCCTTAGCCTCCCAAGTAGCTGGGACTACAGGCTCCTGCCACCACACCCAGCTAATTTTTTTTTTTTTTGTATTTTTAATAGACATGGGATTTCACCGTGTTAGACAGGATGGTCTCGATCTCCTGACCTTGTGATCTGCCTGCCTCAGCCTCCCAAAGTGCTGGGATTACAGGTGTGAGCCACTGTTCCCAGCCTGTTAATATTTTTCTTAACAAGTTTAATGATTTCTTCATATAGTAAATGTATTATACTTTTTATTGCTCTTATTTACTGTAAACATCTTTTACTGTATGTTGTTTGCATTCTTATTTAGGCTTTGTTTACTTGCATCAAAGTTTTCTCATTTTGTATGTAGCCAAATAAATTGATTTTTTTTCTGGTAAGTTTTGTCCCCTTCTGTCTTCAAGACTTAAGACATAATCACAATTAGCTATTTTTAAAAATAAATTAGATTGAGTCCAGAGATGTTCGAAAATATAGTGGAGAAAGTCTAACAACATAGTTGAAAATGAAATTATGATAATTTACCTCTTTGTATGTTACACCATTCTTTTATTTTAATGAATTAGGTAAACTCCCTTCCTGAATACCCACTGTGAGAACAGACCTAGTTGGTGGGATATAAACGGAGGAGAAGTTCATCTCTGCCACTAACTTCCCTTTTGTTCTCATTCATTTTGTAACATATGGTTAAGTTGTCCTATAGTATCAATCTATCACATCATCTCATAAAATAATATCTGAAATTTTGGCCTGGACATTGAAATATTTCTTTTATTGTTGCCTCTATATAATGTTTTAATTGTATATCCATTGCCTAATGCCAAGTGAACATTGTCCAATATTCATTTTTTAAACATTTATTGAGCTTCTACCATGAACCAGCAATGTTGAAAATAACCAAAAGCAATCCCTATCTTCAAGGAGCTCATAGTGCAGTCAGCTCATTCCTCCTAGAATATTCTCTGTATTCTGCTTCTGGAAACTTGCTCCATTTTCTCAGTATACTTAAATATTCCTATATCTTAAATATTCCTTCACAGCAGTACCTATTTTTTTTAAGGCTCCCATTCAAATCCTATTTTATCTAGTAAACTTTCTATGTTAACGACACCCATGTTGGCAAGAATGATGTTTTATCTCTATTATAACATTTCATTTTTATGAGCTTCATAATAAAGTTATTGATATATCCCTCTGTCTCCTCCACAAGACTTTGACATTTATGACAATAGCAGTTTGATCTTATTCAACTTTGATACCTCCTCATGCATAGCAAGGTTTGTACTCATGGTAGGAAATGAGTAAATATTTGTAGGTTTTTTTTTTTCTGTTCATTGAAAGGTCAAAATTCAAGATTATAATCAACTCCTCCAATATTGAGTCACAATTACCATGATTTTTGCCATTCTTCAATTTGTTTATTTATTGGCACTGTAGAGATGCTGTGCTTTCCACAGGACTCAAATTTAGTATCCAGTAGGTGTTCAATAAGTTTTCTTCACTGAAAATCTGAAAGGGTGGCAGTAAATCCGTGTACAGAATCTGCAATAACATTTGTTATCCACTTAGTTTTTCATATATTTCTGTATTCTTGCAATTAAAAAAAAAGGGCACAAAATTTAGTCAATGGATGCTTGATAAACCAGTTTTTTGGTTGAAAATCTTGCTTTAGTACCATGCCAAGTGTTAATTTACATAACTTCCTGTTTTTGTCATTTGCTAAAAAGGTTTCTTTCACAACTGCCAAGTGACAAAGGGGTTTCAGCTCTTTCCATTACGTTTTAATAAAACATCCTGTAGTACAGATCCCCTTTACCTGGTTCATCTGGGAGTTGTTTGGAAGAGATCCATTTATTTTACTTAAAGTTTGTTACATGCTTCCATTTCGGTGGCAAATCCCAGGGTACCGTTATGGCCCAGAAAGGTTGGTGTTCATTTGGTTAGAGACTTATGAAAGATTACTATTTGCTGTCAGTGTCAGAATGTGTCATAACAGGGGTCCTCCTTTTATTTTTACTTGGTAACCCCATGAATGAAGACAATCTGGTGTTTCTAATGAAAGTGACTTTTATAAACAAGTCATCCCCTACTGCTTGCTTGACAAAATACCAAGGCCAATCCTAGGGAAGATTGGGAAACTGAGAAAGTTTGCTTTTATTCCTTGCCTATCATTGTTTTCAGAGCCACTTTGTCATCTTAGAAATCATCCCTTGTTGTGTGACTTGCCTATTCCTTCCATCTGTGTCCTTTTATCCAGGCTTTATCTCTGACATTTATTCTAGAGACACCTCTCTATCCTCTTCCACTTTCCTCAGCTCCTGCCACCTTAATAGGAAGGTAAATAGGAAGTGTTTCTGATCTGTTACTATGACTCTGGCACTGCACTAAGCACCTGATATGTATTATCTCATCAATCCTTAAAGCTATCCCATGAGTTGGCTATTATTATCAGCATCATTTTTCAAATGAAATAACTAAGTCTTAGTTTGAAAGATTTGCCCAAGATCACACAGCAAGTGTGGCAGATGGTAATTTTTACAGATGATCACAGCCCCACCATTTCTCATCCTGCATGTTCTTCCATAATGTGACCTTGCCACTCTGCCCATAAAGGGTTTGGGTCTGTGTCCCTTCCTTCTTTTGAATCTAGGTGGGTTTATGATGACTCCTCCTAAAGAAATCTGGCTGATGTCCTGTGGACTTCTACACCTGGAAGATAAGAGGCACAGTAGCTTCTGCCTTGGTCACTGAAACACTTGTGCTTGAAGCTCTGAGCTGCAAAGTGAGAACTCTAATTACCCTGAGATGGCTACATTGTGTCGAAGTCAAATAACATGGGGAGGTCACATGTAGATGCTCTGGCTGGCAATCCTAGCCTTTGAGTCATTTCATCTCCAGTGCGAAACATGCGACCATGAATGAAGCTGTCTTGGACCTTCCAGATCAGCTCACCCACCAGCTGAGAATCACCAAGTGACCTTAATCAGTGCTACAAAGGGCAAAAGTATCAATGAGATGAACACTTCCACAAATTCCTAACTCACAGAATCTGCAAGAAAAAAAATCATTGAGTTTTGGGGTATTCTGTTACATAGCAAAAGTAACTGGAACAGCTAGTAAGTTGTAGAACCTGAATGGGAGCTGGGCATTCTGACTCCAGAGTTCTCACACTTCATCCCTAAAGATGAACAGTCCCACAATAATCTATGACACGAGTGTTTGCATATAACAGGATCTTGCCTTAACTGCAAGGGCTCAATTTCTAATGGCAAAATTTCTGGCACCAATGGAAAGGTTGATGGTGTCCTCACATCAAATCAAGGTGCTCATTATCTATTTCACACTAGAAAGACATTAGCCCTGATCATTGAATACTTTGTATAATTTATTTACTACTTATTAGAAAACACATTTTCAACTTTTTATTGGAATGTAACACACATATAGAAAAAAGCACAAATCATAGGTGTATCATTTAATAAATCATCATAAAGTTAATTCTCCCATGTAATCACCACCCAAGCAATAAATAGAAGGGAATAAGGAGTTGTCCCTTCATTGCTATAAGGGTTCTTCTATATAGCAACTTATTTGTTGCTTTACACTACCATAAATTTAGAAAATGAGTAATAAAATGTGGTAGACTTCTTTATGTAAGAAGCAAATTGAATATTATAGAATTAGCTTTGGGTTTGGTGGCATCTATTTGGCTCCACAGGGACTTTTATTCTTATTTCAAAGTTTGCAGACATGTTGGCCCCCATTTAGTCCCACTACCTACTTGGCTACTGGCTCTCCACAAAATGATGTGCTCAAATAGAGCTAAGTTTGCACATATACTTTGCATGTTTATGACCATCTGTGTCAATCATGATTTTCTGTCTTAGAACACCTTACTCCCCCTTCTTGGCCCTTGTAATGCTACTCCTCCATTCCTACCTCTGGAAGATCTTCCCTGACCTCTCACTGCCCCCTACCCCAACCCTCACCGCTCCCAAGGACTCCAGGGTAATGTAGTACTGCTCTCTTCAGGACTTCCTGACCATATTTGATTATCTCAGTTATGATGTTTTTCTCACTGTCTTGCAATTATTTGTACACATTTCTGCCTGCCAAAGAAATTGTGAGCTCCTAAAAGGCAGGACTTACCTAGCATATTTCCTGCCACATTGCAGGAATCAAAACATATTTACTGAGCCACCTGGGTAACTATAGATGATTATGTCCTTTAAATAAATAAACCACAGATTAAAGGATAAACATTAGGTAATGAGAACCTCAACTCAAGCAATTTTTTAGAGATATTTTACAACTTTAAAGTCTGCTCAATGTAATCAATTAAAATATCAGACTAAATGTTACTTACAACACAAATGCAAAACTATCTTCTAACACAGATCAAACATTAATTTGGTAAAAAGCTCTGTAACAATGAGAATATTTTTTCCTTTGATATGTAACAGTGTATGTCTCAGTTTCATCAACTCTTCAGAATAAAAAGTATAAGTATATTTAAATGAGGTTATGTTTCCTTTGGTATTGAAATTATAATGATTTTGAGCCTCCATTTCCCAGTATAGATAGCCAAGATATTTCTCCATGTCTCACAGTCTCCTCTGAAGACAATTAATTATTCCTTCAGCCTTGGGCCCACAGATACAGATTTCCTGTCAGCTACTGATTCCCTCTTATTCTCCCTCTACCTCTATCTCTGTCTGACTCTCTCTGTAACTCTCTGTCTCCCTCTCTCTGTCTCTGTTTACCTCTGTCTCTCTGTTTTCTTCTGTCTCTTTCTGTCTGTCCCTGTCTGTCTGTCTCTCTGTCTCTCTTCCTTGCTCCCTTTCTTTCCCTATTTCTCTTTCCTTCTGTTGCTACCTCCATCCCTCCCAGACTCCCAGAACAGGCACAGAGAAGACTCAATCCATAATGAGAAAAATAACATTTCTCTGAAGAAAGCATAACTTGCAGAGATCCAACGTTGTCTACACCAAGGCAATTTTATATGTTATACCCAGAGCAGTTTAGCTCTTTGTAGCTGCTAGCCTCAAATAGTTCTACTTCAGAAGAGGGTCTTTATATTTAAAAACTGAAAGGGCTATTAGGTTGATTTTCCCAGAACACAAGCAAAACCCTGCTCTCGAAACAGCATTCAAAGTGTATTAAATGTTGCTTTTAAAAGCAAAAATTTTCCAGATACTTTAATATTTAAATATCTTTTCGGGCTTAGTTTTAACAATAGCCCCCCAATTCCTTGTGGGAGAAGAGTGAAATAGTGTATAACATGTCCATTCCTAGGATACTGTTTTCTCTTGCATGAAATTCTCTCTAGACTATCACCAGGTCATATTAAAGGAAGAATATAAACAAATCCCTCGGCGATTTTGTCAGAAACTTGCATTGAATTAAAATTTTAGTAAATCAATTTTTTTCTTGGCATGGAGAAGAAATTTCATCTACATGAAAAATGAAACATCAATCTACTGGGGAAATGTACGTTACAAAAACAAATTAAAATCAAGAAGTTGTAAGACAGGTTCAGTGTCAACGCTCAGATCCCTGAGTGCATTTTGCCTGGACAGAAAACTTCTCAGAGTGGATCTTAGGATTCTTTCCAGATAAGCAGCATTCTCTTCCCTAAATCTCTACATATGGTTGAGGATCAAAGTCAATGCTCAGCGGAGACTTGTGATCTGAATACCACCATTTTCTGGTAATAAATAATTCCTTATTTAGATCAGAAATATAATAGAACAAAAAGGTTAGAACTGCTGAGCTCTATAATCTGACACAAAGGAAAACCTCATTCTTCAAATTGTTGCTCACCCGTCTTTTAGATGAAGCTTGAAAGATTTTGTTTGCAAAAAGCTGTTGAGAGGTTAGAAGGTCATCCTTAGCTACAAAGCTCCTTAGGGTTTTCAAAGTACTTAACCATTCCCTGAAGGTGCCCTTTCCCTGGGCAGTGTTCAAAGCCTCCCTAGAAGATTCTTCAATATTTCTCTTTCCAAAGTCAAACTAGGCTCATTGTTTAGAGGAAATGGATTCAGGTGAGTGTCTTTGAACTGCATTTTGAATGGACTATGAAGTCAAGTGGCCTTAAACAAACACATATGAGCAATTTGCGGCTAAAAAAAGGATTTTAAAATGTTACCTATCTCGACGAGGGAAAGGTGGTTGAGGGGAGGTGTTTTATGTCAGTTAAAAAGCAAACATGCCTTCCTGGTAGATCTGAATTTCAAGGTTCTATCTTGTATTTTTCATGTATAGTTTGATTTTGAGATATAGGCCAACACTGCCTTTTTGAAGTATTGCTATTTAATTTGTGGGAGATCTTACATTCTAATAGCTACATGGACAGAGTAGAGGTTTAAAGCAATATCAGGATTAATCAGGCCAAAAGATCCACTGCTATCAAATAACTAATTAGTAAATAATTATTGAGCACAAACTATGTGTAAGGCAATAGTGTATTTTGTGACCTTGTTTCTCTAGATCAAAGTTTAATTCTATACTTTCCAAGGCTTGTTCTAAGAAAGATATGCCTCATTTCTATAATTAGAGGCAAACTGGTCCGATTTATTCATGAGTCAGTTTTCACAGGGTTGAGGCAGAGTCATGATTAGTGTTTATCCTGCAGCGCTTGTAGGCCACAAGGAATGCCTCTTCTGTGAAATGATATAATTCAGAAAAGCTTTGTCCTTCCCTCTGTTGCTCTAATCAGAGTTGTCACATATACTTTAGAGTCCTAGGTGTTAGAAGTGAAAGGGATATATGTAATTGACAAAAAGTGAATTTTAAAGGAATTCCTATTTGTACTTTTAGCAATTGCAGAAAATGAAGGAAATTCTTTTACCATCCCAAGAGGCCCAGATATCATCTAAAAGTGCTTATTTAACTATTTTCAACTTTTCCCGTACTTCCAAGCAGATTTTACTTCACATATATAAAGTATGGGCAATGTGTGTGCACACTCACATGTTTGCACACACGAACACACACACTTATTCTCAATGCTTGCCTTGGAGGCAGGAGATGGCAGGAAACATCAGGGACTGGTTGTAGACTTATCAAGCTGGAGATCATTTGTTCCAACTGTCATTTTGTTCAGGAAACTCAAGACTGATTTGTGCAAAAGCAGTTAGTTACCTCAGGGGTAGAACTAAAACCAGAACCTAGATACACTGACTCCTTATTAAATTTTATTTTTCTCTACTTCTTCTCATTAAAATCCAATTCACACAAAAGGTAAAGATCAAAGGCAAAGACAAGCAAGAGTCTATTGATAGTTTCCTCCAACTTGAGATTTCAGCAGTACAATTTTGGATAAATTTAAAAAATGTTGATTCCACCTGTGCTTCTCACCTGCTGGAAGCCAAAAGAATGATAAGCAACGTATTAACAGGTTGCACAGCTGAGCACTAACCAATCAGAATGAATGCTGACAGAGCTGGGAGGGAAGTCTTGGCAACCATTTAATCTGCAGATCCCATTATTCTTTACCTCCTACCATGTTGCTTTATATTCCTTGCCTAGTTCTAGATGACCTCTGTAGAGTTGCACTGAACCTGTAGCCTCTAGGACAAGGGCTATGAAACCGTTTCTCACTTTCCCTAGATCACGTTCCCCATGGTATTGGAGTTGGCAGTCATTGCCCCATACCTGAAGTTTCTGGTATGGGTCTTATACTAAACTGCTCATCACCCAGAACCATGGCACTGCCTTATCATAATACTGTCATGAGGACTTTGCTGTCTTATCACAATACTATCTGAGTACTTTGCTGAAGACTTTTTCCCATCTGTTTCATTGAACTTCATTTTCCCCACCTTCACCATGGCTACAAATCTACTATGACTGAAGTTCTTGAACTACTCTGGTACCCTCATGGGGGCCTGCCGCTATCCCTCCCACTCTCAATCCTTCACCTGACAACCCCCGTATTCCTGTCATGCCAAATCTTAGCCTCCCTCAGTCAGAATCTGCCTAAGTTCTAACTCAGTGTTTAAGGACTTCATGTGCCTTTATTCTAATTTGCCTGTGAGAGATAAATGGGTGGAGATTATATTTCATTTGGTGGTAATTCCTCACATGTTATGTCCAATCTGTATTTGTATCTTGACCAGAAATAACTTTAAAAAACTGTGTTGATATCTAACTCAAATATCTGTTATTTGCAGACTGGGTAAACAGAGTTAATTGTTACATATTTCTTCATGGAATACTATTAACATATACCTAAGAATAAATGAGTTACAGCTGCCTCTAACAACAGGGATCAATTTCACAAACATAATAATGCTGGGTAGAGGAAGCCAGACTCAAGATAATACCCGTTGTACGTTTTCACTTAAATAAAGTTAAAAAACAGACAAAACTAATCTATGGTGTTAGAAGTAAAGATAGTGGTTACTTTTCAGGGGAAGAAGAGAGAAGGGATTAGGTGGTTGCTTGAGGGGGGATTCTGGGGGCTGGCAATGTTCTTTCTTGCCCTGGATAGTGATCACATGGGGTAGTTCACTTTATGATACTTTATCAAGTCAAACACTTATGATTTATGTATTTTTGAATGTGATTTACACTTCCACAAAAAGTTGAGAAATGTGTATTTTCTAGTCAATGGGAAATAAAAATAAATTATATTCATTATTCAGTGACCAGGGCTAATGTTTCTCAATTGTGAGACAAATAACGAGTACTTTGATTTAATCTAAGGAACCTATCAGCACTTTCACTGGTGTTAGAAATTTCACTATTAGAAAGTTGTCCTCATGGTTAAAGCAAAATCCTGGTATATGCAAATAGCGGTAGAAAGTGTGTCACAGGTTATTGTGGGTTTGTTCATCCTTAAAGTGTAGGGATGAAGTGTGAGAACTCTGGAGTCAGAATGCCCAGTTCACATTTAGGTTCTACCACTTATTAGCTATTCCAGTAGTTCCGACACACACACTGTCTGATGATCCTTTGAGGAAGAGCCAATAAGATCGGATTTGTTTTTTGTCTGAAAATTCCCCAATGTAAGCAAAATATCTGGTAGTAAGACCCATATTTTTGTTGTAGATGAGAAAAGAACCATGATTTTATCTCACCTCCTTTTCCCGGTGGTTTGGGAAACCCTATCAGTGAATTTGATTCATAACAATATGTACAAAAGTTCAATATTTGTGTGGGTGAAGTTATAGTCAATAATCTGTCCATTTCTCCTGTGTCAAGTTGCAAGTGTGTGACAAAAGGCAGAAACACCATTAAGTGCACCTCAATTTTATAAAGAGACAAATTTCACCATGTCATTCATAATTTAAATAATAATAATAGCTAATCGAGGGCCACAAAATTACACAGAGACTATCAACCCAGCATGAATTTTCCATGTGATTAAATCCCTTCACATATTTCTATTTAAAGCCTTTGATCACTTTTAAACTTAATACTATGTTAAAACATGCACAGGCATTTTGAAATATGCTTGGCCAAGGGTGGTGGCTCACACCTGTAATCCCAGCACATGGGGAGGCCGAGGTGGGCGGATCATGAGGTCGGGAGATCGAGACCATCCCGGCCAACATGGTGAAATCTCGTCTCTACTAAAATACAAAAAAATTAGCCAGGCATGATGGTGTGCGCCTGTAGTTCCAGCTACTCGGGAGGCCGAGGCAGGAGAATCGCTTGAACCCGGGAGACGGAGGTTGCAGTGAGCCAAGACTGTGCCACTGCATTCCAGCCTGGTGACAGAGCGAGACTCCATTAAAAAAAGAAAGAGAAAGAAATATGCTTGAGTTTGTAGCCTGCTTTCTCTCAAAACAAAAGCAAATCAAACCAAGTTTGTTGAAGTTATTGCTTAGAAATTTTCTTCTAAAACTTCCTCATGGGTAAAAACGAATATAGGGTAGTAAAATTTGTATCTGAAAGCGGTTTTTATAGTTTTTTCTTTCTATTTCATTTGTTTTTGCTATAGGTTAGATAGTACAGAAATGTTGGGAGTAAAGAAAATAGAAACGCCATTTTCCTACTCCCCTCCAGAGGCAGTCAAGATCGTGTAGGAATGAGAGCTACGGGAATGGAAAGGACTTCGGATTAATGAGCTGAGAGAAAATAAGGAGAAAACATGACTGAGAATCATACTAGTCAAAAAAACAGTTAAAATATATCATAAAAAGGTATTTCTTTAAAATAGCTTTTTCTAATTTAAAAAATAATACATGTTCATCTTAAACTTATTTATAAAATGCAGGGAACTATAAAGAAGAAAATAAAAGTCACTGACAGTCCTATTGAGTTAACCACTGGTGACATTTGGTGGTATTTTCTTTTCATTTTTTTTCTTCACTTCTGTATACAAAATATATGTGTCCTTTACTGAAATAAAGTCAGTCCATATACAGTTTTTTTAATTCTGCTATTTTCACTACACATATCATGAGCATTTTCTCCCTTTGTTTAAACATTTTTAAAAAATTTTTTTTGCTGTATTTTATTCAGTTCTATGGCATTTTAGAATTTGATCTTTTCCTATACATATAACTTATCAAGTAAAGGGAGTCTTCCATTTGGAATACATTACTTAGTCAGTGGCATCTAATTAATAAACGTACTTCACTGAAGTAATGTTTTTCTATGGCAGAACTCATGGGGTTTCTATAGACCCGTTCTGAGGGGGAATTGCTGGTAGGGATGCAAGTGACTCCATAGGCTGCGGATGAAACTAACTGAGCCTGCATGGTGGTGACCCAGATCTTAATTCTCTCTGATGGGATGGATAAGTCTTATCTGCTCTATTTCAAACCTCAAAATCTTTCTTCAGAGCACCCTGGTTTATCTATATTCCAATTGTTTCTTTTCAAACTCCCATGATGAAATAAACCCTACACCTGCAGTTTTTTAGTTTACTTTCTTCCCTCATTCAGACAAACTCTCCAAATCCTACCTCAATCTAAACAGTTTCTCAAATCCAAGAAATCACTGTGAATTTTGCTAGAATGAAGATCTTAAACCTTTCTTTCCCATCACACAAACTCAGTTTCCTCTTGATGTTTACAGTGCAAATGTTTGCTAGCTTTATGTATTTCTCTAGGCTTTTCCTTTGTGTGATTTTAAATCTTCTACCTTTGCTGAATCAACAAAGTCAGGGTCTACGTAACATATAGTGGGCAGATCTGTGCTAGAATTAAAACACTGCTCTGCATTGGTGTGTATGTGTGTGTGCGTGTGTGTGTGTGTGCGTGTGTGTGTGCGTGTTCACACATGCGCAGGCCAAAAGCTTCCCTTTAGGTTCTTTCCCCCATATTTTTTCTCAAATATTCTTTACAGCTATAGTTTCACACATTATCTTTGGGCTCAAATGCATTCTGGGAAGTCCTCTCTTTGTTGAAACTAAGCAGGGGTGAAGCTAGAGGTAAAAGTGGGCATTGACCTAGGAGCTAAGTTTGTTTGTGTGTTATTTTTATCTATTTATTTTGTATTTCAGCGGTACAAGTGATTTTTGTTTACATAGATGAATTGTATAGTGGTTAAGTCTGGACATTTAGTGTACCAGTCACCCAAATAGTGTACATTGTATCCAACAGGTAAGTTTTCAGTCCTGGCTCCCATTCCATTCTCCCTGCTTCTCAGTCTCCAATGTCCGTTATACTGCTCTGTATGCCATTGCATACCCATAGCTTAGCTCCCACTTAAAGTGAGAACATATGTTTTTTTTTTTGTTGTCCATTCCTGAGTTGCTTCACTTAAGGTAATGTCCTCCAGTTCCATGCAAGTTGCTGCAAAAGACATTATTTCATTCCTTTTTATGGCTGAGTAGTAGCCCATGGTGTATGTGTGTGTGTGTGTGTGTATATATATATATGTATGTATATCACATTTTCTTTATCCACTCATCAATTGATGGGCACTTAGGCCTTTGCAATTGCAAATTGTGCTGTGATAAACATGAGCATGCAGGTATCTATTTGACATAATCACTTCTTTTCCTTTGGGTAGAATCCCAAAGTAGTGGGATCGCTGGATCAAATGGTAGATCTATTTTTAGTTCTTTGAGAAACCTCCATAGTGTTTTCCATAGTGGTTGTAATTTATATTCCCACCAGTAGGGTATAAGTATTTAACCTGGGAGCTAAGTTTGGCCTAAAAAGAAATTGCCTCACTTAATCCAGCAGTCATTTTAGGATATCAAATGTACTACTCTACAATAATTAGTTGCATGGTTAGTCTAGCCATATGTCCAAATATCATTGATTGATGTTGGTTGAAGTTGTTAAATAAACTTATTAAATCTCAATGGATACATTATTATATGCTATGCCTGGGTTGCTAGCAAAAAGGGATTGGGAGGCAGGTTCTAAGAGGCAGTAATTGGCCAAAAGGAATTTAGAAAATACGAAATATAAGATATATCTGGGAGAATAATATATGCATCATTTATGAATGAAAAATATTCCTAACATACAAAGAACTCCTAAACATTAAATACAAAAAATGGCAAAATGAAAAGCAATTCTTAAAGAAGATATGCAAATACACAATGGATTGACTTAATTTCATTAGCAGGCAGAGAAATGCAAAACAAAACAATTGTGAGATACAATTTTTTGCTTGAATCCTAATTCTAATTCTAAACCTTTTGTGTTGGTAAATATTAAAAGGATTGGTGATGTCCATTATTGTCAAGAGTGTGGAGCAACAGAAATTCAAATATATTAATGGTAGGAGGATGACCTACTAAACATTTCGGGAAAGTAAACTAGAGGTATCTTTAATAATTAAATTTTGCAAAATTACCTTTATGGAGTCCTACTGTGGGAATCTACAAAAAAATTAAACTATGAGTCTGAAAGGACATAGATAAATGTATCTGTTGTAATATTGGTTACCACATTGTAGTAAATGGTATCAACAAAAATACCTATCAATAGAGAAATGACAACAGGCATACTTCAGAGATATCGCAGCTTTATTTCCAGACCACCACAAAAAAGTGAATATCACAATAAAGCAAGTCACACAAGGTTGTTTGTTTTGTTTGTTTCCCAGAGTTTATAAAAGTTATGTTTACACTCTACTGTAGTCTATCAAGTGTGCAATAGCATTATGTCTAAAAAACAATTTACATGTTCTAATTTTAAAATACTTTATTGGCCGGGCATGCTGGCTTATGCCTCTAATCCCAGCACTTTGGGAGGCCAAGATGGGTGGATTGCCTGAGGTCAGGAGTTCAAGACCAGCCTGGCCAACATGGCGAAACCCTGTCTCTACTAAAAATACAAAAAATTAGCCTGGTGTAGTGGTACATGCCTGTAATTCCAGTTACTCAGGAGGCTGAGGCAGGAGAATCACTTGAACCCGGGAGGTGGAGGCTGCAGTGAGCTGAGATCACGCCACTATACTCCAGCCTGGGCAACAGAGCAAAACTCAAAAAATAAAAAATAATAAAATAAAATAAAGTAAAATGCTTTATTGCTTAAAAAAATCCTAAAAATCATCTAAGTCCTTAGTGAGTCATAATCTGATTGCTACTGGAGGATCTTGCCTCAATGTTGATAACGGCTGACTGATCAGGGTGGTGGTTGCTGAAGGTTGGGGTGGCTGTGGTGATTACTTAAAATAAGACAACAATGAAGTTTGTGACATAGATGGACTCTTCCTTTCACAAAAGATTTCTCTGTAGTGTACGATGTTTGATAGCATTTTACTTAGTGTAGACCTTCTTTGAAAATTGGAGTTAATTTTCTCAAACGCTGCTGCTGCTTTAGCAACTAAGTTTATGTAATACTATCCATCCTTTTGTTGTTGTTTCAACACTTCACAGCATCTTCACCAGAAGTAGATTATATCTCAAGAAACCACTTTCTTTGATCCTTCATAAGAACCAACTCTCATGCATTTAAATTTTATCGGGAAATCACAGCAACTCAGTCACAACTTCAGGCTCTACTTCTAATTCTAGCTATCTTGTTATTTCCACTACATCTGCAGTTACTTCCACCACTGAGGTGTTGAACTTCTCAAACTCACCGAAGAGGGTTGGAATCAAGTACTAACTCTTGCTAATGATGATATTTTGACCTCCTCTTATGAATCATGAATGTTCTTATTGGCATCTGGTAGGCTGAATTTTTTCCAGAAGGTTTTCCATTTACTTTGCCCAGATCCATTAGCAAAATCACTATCTATGGCAGCTACAGTCTTATGAAATATAGTTCTTAAATAATAAGACTTGAAAGTAAAAATGACCCCTTGATCTATGGGAATAGATGTTCTATTAGCAGGAATGAAACAATGTTTATCTACTTTACATCTCCATCAGACCTCTTGGGTGACCAGGTGCCTTGTCAGTGAGCAGTAATATTTAGAAAAGAGTATTATTTTTTTCCTGATCAGTAAGTATCAACAGTGGGCTTAAGTGCTTCAGTCATCTCTGCTGTAATCTAAGACACTGTCATCCAGGTTGTGTTGTTCCATTTGTATAGCATAGGCAGAATAGATTTAGCATAATTCTTAAGGGCCCTTAGATTTCTGGAATGGCAAATAAGCATTGGCTTCAACTTAAAGCCATCAGCTGCATTAGCCCCTAACAAGAGTCAGCTTGCCCTTTGAAGCTTTGAAGCGAGTGTTGACTTCTCCACTCTAGCTATGAAAAGTCCTAGATGGCATCTCCTTCCAATAGAAGGCTGTTTGTTTTGCCTACATTAAATAGCTGTTATTTAGTGTAGCTACCTTCATCAATGATCTTAGCCAGATTTTCTGGATAACTTGCTGCAGCTTTTACATCAGCACGTGCTGCTTCACTTTGCAATTTTTTGTTATGGAGATGGCTTCTTTACTTAAACCTCATGAACCAACCTCTCCTAGCCTCCAACTTGTCTTCTACAGCTTCCTCATCTCTCTCAGTCTTCAGAGAATTGAAAAGAGTTAGGGCCTTGCTCTGGATTAGCCTTTGGTTTAAGGGAATGTTGTAGCTGGTTTGATCTATCCAGACCACTGTAACTTTCTCTACATAAGCGATAAGGTTGTTTTGCTTTTTTTTTGAGACAAGAGTCTTGCTCTGTCACCCAGGCTGGAGTGCAGTGGCTTGATCTCAGCTCACTGCAACCTCCACCTCCCAGGTTCAAGCGATTCCCCTGCCTCAGCCTCCTGAGTAGCTGGAACTACAGGCGCATGCCACCATGGCTGGCTAATTTTTGTATTTTTAGTAGAGGCAGGGCTCCACCATGTTGGCCAGGCTGCTCTCAATCTCCTGACCTCAGGTGATCCACCTGCCTCGGCCTCCCAAAGTGCTGGGATTACAGGCATGAGCCACTGCTCCTGGCCCACTTTCTTATCATTTGTGTACTCACTGGAGTAGCACTTTTAATCTTTTTCTTTGCATTCACAACTTGGCTGTTTGACATGAGGCCTAGCTTTCAGTCTGTCTTGCCCAAACACACCTCCCTTGCTAAGCAGAATCAGTTCTAGCTTTGATTTCAAGTGAGAGATGTGCGACTTTTTCTTTCGCTTGAATAAACACCTAGAGACCATTGAAGGGTTATTAATTGTCCTAATTTAATATTGTTGTGTCTTGGAATAGGAAAGCCTGAAGAGAGGGAGAGAGATGGGGGGATGGCCGGTAGGTGGAGCAGTCAGATCACACACAATGTTTATCAATTAGGTTTGCTGTCTTGTATGGGCACAATTCATGGCACCTCAAAGTAAGTACAATAATAACATCAAGGATCACCAATCACAAATCACTATAACAAATAAGATCATAATGAAAAAGTTTGACAGTGTGAGGATTACGAAAATGTAACACAGAGATACGACGTGAGCACATGCTGTTGGAAAAATGGTACCGATAAACTTGCTTGACACATAGTTGCAACAAACATTCAATTTATTTTAAAAAATGCATTATCTGTACAATAAAGCACAATAAAGCAAAACACAACCAAATGAGGTATGCCTATGATTAAATTGTGATGGAGCCATACCATAGAATTTTATGTAGTTACCAGAAGAATTAGTTGGTTCTGCATGTATGGTTGTATTAAAAAGTTACAGAAACAAGTGTAGAATAAACAGAAACGTACCCTCGTATGTTTTAGAGTATATGTTTATATGCTTTGTAGGAACATTGGAACAGATATGTAGACTCGACATGTTGGAGGAAAAATGGATGGAGCTTGTTATCAATCCTTGCTTGAGGCCAAAAATCACTTTGAGCTCAACCAATGAGCAATTACTGAAAATTTAATGTACATAAAGCTGTGCTAGACCCTGGAGAAAACACAGATATGTGAGATATAGTTACTGATCTCTAAACAATTAAACTGAGTTAGGATGAAAACAAAGACATACATGTACATGATTACATGCTAGATGATATGATATGAACTCCAGGTGCTGTGGAAATTCGAAGGAGAGGTTGATCCGGGTGGACGGGGAGCAGCTTTTGGAGAAAAAGAACTCAAATTGTGTTCAGAGAGCCCACTGCTTGCATTCTTTTTGCTTCTTTTTGCTCCACCTTCCTTTATGTAGACTTTCATTGCTGTGTACCTGACCTTATCATTTGCCCTTGGTTGTCCACCTTTGTTAATACTTGCCTAGTATTTTGGACTCTTGAGTAACTTGGGCCCCAGTTTGTTCTCAAGGGTACCTTTGAGCCCATTTCCCTGTCTTAGTCCCTTGGAATAAGAATTAGATGGACTTCAGCCAACCTACCCAAGCTCAATCGGTCTCCACCTTTGTTGACATGGGTCAACATGACAAGCACCATAACAGTTGATTGTCGTGATTCATCTCCGTGTTGGAAATCCAGGTCAGGACACAAAAGAGCTTGCTCAATTCTTTCCTCTTATGCTGTTAAAATAAATGAGGGTGAACCATACTGGTTGAGTTTTGCCGTTCTACATCTAGTTCATTATAATTACACAGACCTAGCCTCAATTAAGTAATATTCTCTGCAGTGGGAGTGGGCCATTTTGTGTGTGAATTTGAATGTCTGCATAGATCAGCATTATTGTTCATCACATCTGCACTTACATATATTTATATGCACACTCACAAGTGCAAAGATGCAGTTTCAAACTTAATTAAAAATAGGAAGCAACCTAAAGTGTGCTAGTATTTCCCCTGACTTTAGCATGATCTACCACTTTGACAAAATTTCATAAATCTCCCGCAATAGAAAATTCTACTGCACAGAACCATTTTATGCAGCAATATAGGTATTTAAAATATTCAACAATGTTCATCATGTTTTGCCTCATGGTACACAGGATTTTTATGTATTTAATAGTTACATATGTTATATATTTTAAACAGTATTTTTTACTAATGGTCCCCAACAGTACATTTTTCTGAAACTCTAACATCTGTGTTTTGTTCTTGTAGCTTACGATAATAATCTTAAATTGAGCACATCCAACCACAGAGGATGAATTAGTAGCTAGCTTTCAAAGGTGGCTGGATCCAGCAATGAAAGCATCAAAACTTATCAAGTCCTGGTGACAGAAAGGCCTCCTTCTTCACTTTTTGAAGGGCAATTCCGGATCTGGCATCTGAGTGGCTCCTGCTGTTGCCAGGCCTGCAGCAGGTACACAGAAACTCAGAGGAGAGGAACCGTGGGGAATGTTCATTTGTTATTTATTTATAAACTTGCCGTGCCACATCATGTAAAATTAACACCTTTAATGGGCTCCTGCCTCAGTTGCTTGAAGGACGGGCTTTCACCAGCCAAGGCCACCCACTGGCTTCCAGGCAGTGTTGCTGTGTGTTTGCTTTGGGCTTCGAGCTCCATGGAGTTTACCTGCTGAAGTCATGCCTGTGCCCAGCCGGTCAGCAAAGGTCTGTCCCATTAGAAAGAATGTTCAGGAAGTGGAATCTTTGGGGTTTTTGTGCTGAAGAGATGAGTGATTACTTTGGAGTATAAATTCCTTTCTCCATTTAGTTAATGAAGAGATTTACTCCAACATTCGTTTATTATAAATTGGAGGCGGGGATGGCTTCTCCCGTGTGCCAGCATCCAGAGGGTCCCTTTCCTGTAAGAGTTCATAAGTAGTCAACGTTTACAATGAAAAAGTTTTGTAAGCATTATCTTTTCCTATCACAAAAATTCCCTCATGCTTCTAAGGGAAGACCAATATAATTTGCAGACAGTGATTCTGGAACAAAAATGGCTTTATACATAGGGAATGGATGTAAGCGTTTGGGGATTTCGAAGCAAGAGCTCACCTTCTACACACACCCCATTGCTCCAGCTTCAGTGCCTAAAGTTCCAGTCTAATTCTGCAACATTACTGAAATGCAAATAACGTCTGGGAGAGTGGAGGAACAAGTTAGGTTATTCAACAAACATTTATCAGCTTACCATATGCTGAGTATTGCACTTGATAGATATAAAAGCTCTTGAAGAGATCATGGTCTAATGGTAGAAAGAAAAAAAGTGACACACAATTAAAATCCAACTTTGAGTGTTATAGTTGAGGCCGGTGCTGAGTGGTAGGGAAATAGAGAGGAAGGATTAATATTGCCCAAACAGATTGGAGAAGGCTTCAGAGAGAAGATACTTTTTGAGCTTGAAGAATGGATAAACATTTATCCAGATGGGAAGAAAAAAACAATTCCAGTTAATTTTTGAGGGAGCAATGACAATATGTATTTGAATCCTTGCTAGATGCCAATTGTTGTGCGAAGGGCCAGGCCCTGTGTGAAGTGCTTTAGACCCATGATCCAGTCCAATTCTTACATGGGAGGAGCATTGTCAGTGCCTTAAGTGTCAGAACACAGAGAAGGTCCCCAGCGGTTAACTAACCTGCCCAGTGTTGGAATTCAAACATAGGGCTATATACTCCCTAGCCGGTGCTCTTATTTTGACCCTGCAGCATTCACGGCTGCCTTTTTCCAGAGCCATGGGGGAAGTATGACCTTTTGGGAGATGGGTGAAGGGCAACTAACATGGCTGTGAGTTGAGAGAGAAAGGGTGCAGGGAAGTCAGGTTGTGACCAGATTGTGAAGAGCTTTGAAGGCTGTAAGATGTTTGAACTTTGTCCTGTATCCTGTAGGCAATGGGAAGCCAGCCATTGGAGGTCTTTGAGTGTGTGTGCTTATATGAGGGAATGAGAAAGAGAGATAAAGACAAAAATGGGGTGAGATTAAGAGAGAGAGAAGGAGGGAGGGGGTTGTTTGTGGTTTAGAAGGACAACTATGGCAATGTGTGACAGATGAACTTCAGAGAAGGGCAGTAGTTGTGGGTGGGGGAGTGAGATGAGGAGTGAGCTATGTTATATCTTCTGCGAGATATAGCATAGGTCTGAATATACACCTTCCATTCATTGTGGTACAGATAAGTTGACCAATTTTCGGTTTAAGAGCATGTAGACTTGAAAGGTGGACAGGTCTGTAAATTACTGGCTGTGGCATCCTAAGCAAATTGGGTAAACTTTTACATAGTCACAATGCCAGCCTCAGTCTCTTCACCTGTAAAAAGGGGATAATAATAGTATCTTCCTCACTGGACTGTTGTGAAGATTAAATAAGATAGTGATCTATGGTCCAATACCTGGCTCGTTGCACATTTCCTATTATTGATAGCTGTTACTCTATGAGCACTCTCCAAGGAGAGTTATTTTATCAGACTACTCAGTAAGCCACCCATGTAGGCCATGAGGAAATGGAATTTGAACACTCATTGATGTGTACAATGGGTGGCAGGAAGAGTAGAAATGAAGGAGAGTAACAAAGGCCTAGAGCATTCTCACAGAGTGAGAGCTGGGCCTGAAAGCTGTGGAATGATGCCTACAGTTAGATGGGAAAGAGGAAACCAGGAGAAAATTGAAGGCAAATATTCCTTCCCAAGCTGGCACTTGAGATGAACTTAGCTAGTGCACAGATGAAATATAACATTGTGATGATGTTATATTTATTCTAGTTATTGCCAGTAATTACTTCTGTGTCTTTTCCTCCATTCACTGTGATGCCACGAAGTGGGTCTATCTGAAGATAAATATTAAACAAATAATAGTGCATGTGATATGTGGGTGTAGCAAAAATTGTGAATATGGTCTGAGGTTGAGGACATGTGGTGCCAAAGAATGTGGCCTTCTCCAGGACAGAGAACTTATCTGATGCACGACTCTCTCTCACCTTGGTATGTAGCACCACAAGCCTGGCAGAGTGAATGCTTCGTAAATGTTTGTTTCACCAAATCATGTTCCCTGCTTGTACTCTGGGAGCACTGTGAGTTTTTAGTATCAGCTTCATGTGCTACTGTCATCCTTTCTTAGAGGTCATCTCTTGCCTTCTCTATCTCTCAACAAGGGGATTTCCACTAACAATACAGATTCTAAATTCTATGGTGTATAATACATACACGCTGAATTTACACCAAATAAATGAAAGAGGTATACAATGCTCTTTGTAGCATTCAGCAGGGAACATAATAAAATTATTAGGAGCAAGGGCTTAAGGTCACACAAACCTGGTTTCAAGTTCCCGTTCTACTGTTCATAGCCACTTAACCTCGGGTAATTCATTTAATGACTCTAAGACTCAGATTTCTCATCTGTAAAGCAGCGATCTGATAATAAAAGTACTGAACTCATCAGGCAATTATGAACAGTAGATTATATAAATGATGGAAAGTACTTGGCAGAGGGCTTGTTAGAAATACTTAGTAAATATTTATTATTATCATAGTAATATCATGCTAGCTATGGTGACTGGAAGTTTCTGGTTTCTACAAGTAGAGTGTCCAGTTTATGTCTGTTTTAGAAGACAGTACGTGCTTCATCTATTGCCTACCACAAGACCTGGCACATAAATGTTTACTAAATGGGGTAATGAATAAACATTAAAAGAGGAAGTGGAATAAGCTGATTTTAGGTGATTTGAAGACATTTTGCATACATGGTTTAATAAGCTTTGTAGGCAAGATGGCTTGTGTTTGCTGACACAAAAGTAAATGGCCACTCTCCTTTTAAAAGGTGATAATCTGTCAATATGCACATCAGCCAATATCACCTTTGCTTCTCAGCTTTTTGTACTCCCAGAGATATCATAGGTGAAACTAGCATAGGAGTTAGATACTTTTTAAGCAAAAAGCACGTGGGGCAATACAAGACTTGGCAAGTATAACATAGCTCACACAGTGTTATAACTGTGGAGTCTGAGAGGCTGAATCTTTTTACTCACCTAAGAAATGCAGTAATCCTTTCTGAATATCCTGCTTCTAGCATAACACTGCTCATAAGATATAAAGTGCACTTTGACCAAGATGGCCAAAAGGTCCCCCTCAGCTTGACTCAACTTTAGCCATTTGACTCTAGGGCCCTGACCTCCCTTTTCTTAGAGTATTTTACTTTAGAAAATTTGCAATTGTAAATTCTTTCTCTGCCTTTATGAGATGTAAATCTTCTACAACCTAGAAATGTATTTATCCCTGAGCTGGGATCTATCTCTCTGAAATGTAACCATTGAAGGTGATAGCACCCCTCTCCTAGTCTCTGTGGGAGGATAGGAGTCTAACTTCTATAAAGGACAATTAGCAAACACAGATGGCCTAATCACATTGACTACCCTCCTCCTAATGTCTTCTGGTACTTTTCCGTCAGCTTACCTCAGGGTTAAAGTACTCCTGCCTTTTGTTTCAGTGAAGTTGAGTTTAACTTCTCTCCCCATTGCAGTAGTCTTGAATAAAGTCTCCCTTGCTATTTTTAGCAAGTGTACAGTGCAATTTTTATTTTATAGTTCCTTGAATTCAAAAGGGGGGAGTGAAGACTCACCCTGTGAATTTACTGACTGTCATTAAAATCAACATGATGCCCATCACCATCAATCAGACAAGTCCCACAATATCCAAAGCCTTCTGATAGTGAGTTTCACAATTAATTAATGAGACAGAATAGGGTGTGGATTGCATGATTTTAATCTGCACAGAAGAGGGTAAAAAGCCTCAGGTTGAAGACCCAGCACTCTGAGGTCAGCCAATACAGAATGAATGCTGCTCAACTTCCCAAGCCAGGGCTTGACTAATATGCTAATGTCTTTGAAAAGCACACTGCTTTAAAAAAGTAAAGAATGAGGTTCAGAGGATCTGAGATGGGATGAAAGACAAAGAATTTGGAATATCTTTGCCAAAGTGGGCTCAGTGAATTCCAAAAATTAGTCAGAAAATTGATTTGATCAACTTGTTTTTATCAAAGTGTTCAGATACAAATTCTTGTTGAAATAACAGGTTTTGAGGTTCACATCACTCCTTTCCCTAAAACTGTTTCTTGGTTTATGTTGCACTTGAGGATATCATTCAGCCTTTTTGAAGTGGCTCATGGTCTTGTCTCTATCTCTCTGTTCTCCTTTCTTACTGACCCCCTCTCATGCCTTGCAGTCCAACCATTCTGACCTGCCTAAAGTCCTCTGGATGGGCCATGTACTCTGCTCCCATGACTGCTATTAGGTCTGTCTTAAAGGCTTTTCTACCATTTTTCACCTGTCAAACCCAGCCAATCCTCTCGGAAGCCTCCAGCAATCTCACAGGGTGAGGGTCTCCTTCTTGATACCCTTAACCATCCAGTTAATAGCCCTATGGCATGAGAGTCATAAGATGTATCAATGTTGCTTTTTTATTTGTCTAAATTCTCCACTAGGGTGAGGACTCTTCTTTGTCCATTTTGTGTATCCCCAGCAGAGTTGCTGGACCCAAGAGAAGAACTAGATAATACTTTCTGAAATAGCTTACAGGTGCATACTATCAAGAGTTCAGGCTGAGTCTGCAAAGTGAAGGGAAAGATGGGTCTGCTTCTAGTGCTGGCAATGACTATCAAATGCTACCAGCAGCTGTAACAAGAGCAATAATTTCCCAGGTCTTCTTGACTTTAGCCAAGTTTTAGTAAATCTATTTTTACTCCAAATATCAAAAAGTAGTAGCTTTAAAGGAGACAGACTCTTTATTGACCTTAGGGACACTGAATGTTCCTCAAAAACATAGTTAGAGGGCATGATTTGGGAGTACAGGTTAATCAGTGTGACGCTTGCCTGACAGAGAGACCCCTTTCACTGGAATAGGAAGATCTACTTTTGTATCTTGATGTTTTATTTGGCTGGTCTCTGAGCCAGTCCTGACCATTACACCCACGTGGGCCATGCCTGTTGGCTTTAAGTCTCATGGGGGATTGGAGTTCAGCTACCTGCAGCATTCTTTCCTTTGCTGTTTTGGTTCCTTTCCTGTCATCATTGGCACCCTTAGTTCTATAACACTTAACCCTTTCTCCCATTCTTTTCTTCCTGTAAACTCTGGTGATCTTACGTCATTACACTGAAAAAGAACTACTCTGCTCACCATAAGTTGGCCATTCCTGCTGAGAAAGAACACAGACATTTCAGATGCCATGGATATCTTTTTCTTGCAATGTACAGGTCAGCTTTGCTGCAGTTATGCATATCTGGTTGAAATGCTTCATGCCTGGGCAAAAGGAGAAAGGGGATTTTTAGAGTGCCAGCCCAAAAGTGATCCTTGAAGTGCTTTCAGTATTCCAACATCTTATGGCACTTTCTCAGTTCAGTTTGCTTGGTAGTCATTAGATGTCTTCAAGTTGATGACTGGGTGGTAAAAAGAAATCTTAACAAGTCAGCATTTTTATTTTATAAAATAAGATTTTACCAGTAAATATTAAATTTTTAAAATAAACAATATGATTGATGCCCTAAGTTCTAAGTGTTATTTTGGATCAAACTCTACCTGTTCTGATGAAAGTACACTTGAGGAATGACAACCTGTGCACTTCTCTATTAGAGGTAGGCAGTAATTCCAGGCACAGAGCTATTAAGGATTAGGGAGTCTGATGGGTTGGCAGCCTCCTCAGTCAATACCTGATGCCTAAGTGCAGAGAGGATTCAGTCCTTGGCATGATGTGAAAGGCCTTTTATGATGTGGTGCTCGCCTGCTTCTCCAGACTCATTGGTGAGTGTTCCCCTCCTTTATCTCTCCCTCTTCTAAGTCTCAGCTGTGTGTCGTCTCCCTAAAGATTTGTCGTATATGCACCCACAGAACCCTGTGAGTATCACCATCCTAGCACTGAGAAGAGCATATTATAATTTTATATTTACTTGCCTATTTTCACAAGATTGTGAACTTTCTTGAGACCAGAGGCTGTATCTTATTTATCTTTGGATCTTCAGAAACTAGCACAGTCCCTCTTTCAAGGTTAGCACTGACAGAATCTAATTTTTCAAAATTCATCAATAGAAATATATTATTTTTAGTTCAAGATTTGTATATATTAAGACTTTGGTACTATTTTGGATATTTACTTATCAAATATTCACAAATTAAAATTTTTACTATAAATTTCTTTTAAAAATCACAGAAATGTTTGTAAAATAAAGAACAGAAAAAAGTCACTCATTCACATTTTTTTTCTGCTTCTTTTAGCAATATTTTAAAAATACTTTCTCAAATGAATTTCAGAATAGTTTCATCAAATTTGCATTCTAGAAATTCTTACTGGGACTAGAAATGCATTAAATCTATAATAGATTTGGAAAGAACTGTTTACAGTTTTTAGTCTTCCCATTAGACACATCATTGCTCCTGCCAGTTTTGCAAACCTTATTCTTTTAGAATGTTTGGAAGTTTTCTTCACTAAGATTATTTTAAGGTATATTGCTTTTCATAGCTTTAGATTCTGATTAAAAGTAAACTGGCCTCAGGCGGGTATGGTAGCTCACGCCTGTAATCCCAGCACTTTGAGAGGCTGAGGTGGGCGGATCACCTGAGGTCAGGAGTTTGAGACCAGCCTGGCCAACATGGCAAAACCCTGTCTCTACTGAAAAAAAAAAAAAAATACAAAAATTAACTGGGCATGGTGGTAGGCGCCTGTAATCCCAGTTAGGAGGCTGAGGCAGGGAGAATCGCTTGAATCCGGGAGGCGGAGGTTGCAGTGAGCGGAGATGGCACCATTGCACTCCAGCCTGGGTGACAGAGTGAGACCATCTCAAAAAAATTAAAATAAATAAATAAATACACTGGTATCAAATGTTCAGCGTGCTGTTTTCACCAATCCACCCACTGAAGTGCAAAGTCCTGAGCCTCCCCTCCTCCAAATCTCCAGTCTACTTGTGGAAGTACCAGGACTCCAGAGGAGAGTGGGGAAACTGTAGGAATCCATACCTTGTGGGGTTCCTGTTCCTGCATCACCGCTCTCTTTAATATATGTTGGAGATTAGTATCAGTTCATGAGATTTCTTTACCCTGCTTCTGGATTGTTGTCCTGGTGAGTGAGGAAGAGGTCTCTAGTGGGAGACTCTTATGGTATGAGGAATAGCTCATCCCTTCTCTATTTACAGTTAGGAAATAACAGTGGATAGAATGAGCAGAAAATTGGTGTCCCAACTCTGATAGTCTGTTCTAGTGCTTTCTCCACTAAAGATTTCTACAATGTATCAATCTGCTTTTTTTCTTCTTTTCTTTCTTTCTTCTTCTTTTTCTTTTTTTTTAAAGAAACAGTTCACAGTTCACTCTATTAAACATTCAATTTTGCAGGCAAGTGCAGTGGCATCATTATCAAATCTCACTTTCTTCAAATATCTTAACAGGTTATTCTGTGACTCAAACCTGCTTTTCTCATGACACTTCTAAACTCAGTCTAAATTGCCAATCTGTGGAACCCATGAGCAAATAAATAGTCGTAGTTTTAAGTCACTTGAATTGGGTGGTAGTTTTTTATACAGCAATAACTGACTGATGCACTCTTCTTATTTCTAATCACCTTTCATAGTTTATGAGAAGGAAAATAAGATAATACTTGGAAAATAGTAGTCACTGAATAGTTGTTGAATAAATAATTAAATAAGTGTACAAATGAATAAATGAAACAGTATAATTTTTTCTGAAATTCCAGATTTAAAACAATTCATCTTGATACCTTGAATGTTGGTTTTCCCCTCCACTGCTATATCACCTGGTGCACACACTTATAATAGCAGCAATTACACTGAATTGCAGTTATTTATGCATGTGTTTCTTTACATCGTGAGGAATTCAAGGACTAGGATTATTTTCTAGCCATTTTTGTATTTTTAGTGCTCATATACTCAGTGCTCCCAAAAGGCTGATTCTCTGGGGATTTTAGAAATTGGAAGTTCTGACCTTCGGAAGCTGAATGGCAGCTCTATAGGCTGCAGTGATTCTAAACTGTGACTGAAAATTAAAATAATCTGAAGCTTTAAAAATATATCAATGCCCAGCCTCATTTCAGCAGTCAGTTCAGAATCTCTGGGGGTAGGACTAGGCAATGCCAGTTTGCAACCTGGGCTGAGAACCTCCAGGTTTAAGTGTCCTTAAGGTTTATTAGTATTAGCACCAAACAAATGATTCTCTTCAGCAACAAGGAAGACATATTAGGAAATAATTTGGGATTACTAAATATTCTTACTTTCCAAGCTGAAACATTAATGATAAATGAAGTGCTAAATATTATGCTATACATATGAATGTATTTGTCTGCATGAATTACATATGAAAATTCATTTAAAAATTGTTTAATATTTGACATAAAATTGTCTTTTATTTTTCCTTTAATATTTTTATCAAAGCTATAAAAGTTTTTACAGTTTTAAACTTTTTTTGAAAAATGTCAACTTTATTTTTCCATTTTCTTTTCAATCAAGAATTTTATGATATTTTGTGTTTATTCCTTGGTGTTGATTTTGAATATTTAAAAATGGGTCATTAAAAATGTTTTTTGGTTCAACAATAGCTTATTCAGAACAAATCACTCAATATTTTCTCTCACATGAATAGTTATGCTCCAAGATTTCAATTTGACATCATTAAGCTCTGTGTTCTTATTTATTAAACAACCAAAACATATCTATAGATTGATTTTAGTGCCCCTTTTTTCCCCACTTGAATTCACTATGATTAAAAGTTCACAGCCTTGGTTACAATATATAATTTGAGAAATAACCAACAATGTCTCTAGTGATTAAATATTCAAGTTTGCAATTATTTTGTAACTTTTGTTCTGCTCTTTGCTCACTCTAAAAATTATCATAAAATTTTGAAAGATGTCCTCAGTGTAGAATATGTCCATAAAATATTAAATATTCAATTTTCCTCTATCATGGCTTGAAAAATTCATAATTACATGATGATCCACATAATAACTCATTCTGAAAAGTCATATATGGCACTCCCTCTGTGACTGAGTTAATAATTTACTGCTGTGTGGGATTTTCACTCTGCACTGTTAGTCTTGAGAACATTTATTAAGCAAATGTTCATTTTCAAAGATCAGGATGTGAATGAAGAGGGTAAGAATTTAATGAGGAGTGACAGACAGGTGAACTGATTCCATATAGAACTTTAGTACAAGGGAAAGCAGAGAGCTTTATCTTTCGTTGCCTCGATAGACACCTGAAATGAAATATAGAAGACAGAGGGCAGGAAAAAAAAATGATGCTCTTCTGCAGGGGCCAACTGAGGGATAAATCAAGGGAAGTGAGGAATACAATTCAGGTCATTTGAAAAGATGCCACTGAACGTGGAGCTTTAAGCTTTAGAGTAGAGGGGATGTTGACTTTTTATTTTAAAGTCACCAAATCCTGCCAAAAGAGAATATTTCATGTCTTATTTTTTTCCCTTTGGTATCCCAAATTTTCACTGCCAAAAGCTTGAATGACCAAAGCATGTGATTGAATAAGCAAAGAAGTTTCCACAGAACTGGTTATTTTAAGGGCTTGCAATTGCTTAGAGAAGCTTTTAGGAAACCCGTGTTAGTTAAATGAAGACCTAGAATACAGCATCTAGAAGTAAACCTTACAATGAGTAATCTTTATTCTCTTATTTGCGTCAGTTCTGTGAAAATACAAGCAGCGTGAATGAAGCAAGAAGTTTGTGTTTGATTTATTGGATAATTACATTATGTGAGTAACTCTGACCTCACTTTTCCATGTTGCCTTGGGCAGATCTTGGGTATTCAGAGAAGTGATGGGTCACCAGAAGTCATCAGATGGAACCAAGAAGGAAAACAGTTCAGTTACCTTATTATCATATTAATTTTTGATTGACAAATGTTGAGACTCAATAAAATCATGCCATGATAGGTTACTTCTATGCCCTTTTAAGTGATTTTTGGAATATGGTGCAGGTTAAACAAATACGTAAATGAATAAAACTAAAAGAAATTACAATAAAAGATAAGAGGCCACACTACACACGTATGATTTGAAATTGATTGAAGATTTATCTATAGTCACCAGTTTTAATATCTCCATACTTCAATTTTTTTTACTGGTGAGGATAAGTTACGAAAACCAGAGTGGGGCACCAAGAAGGATGTAGAGGAAGAATCAAATTTTGTTGATTGAAAATAACTTTGTTTTGTTTACCCTTAAAAGCAAAGTTTATATTTGAGGTCTTGGATCATCATTGTTGAACTTTGCCTGAGCCCTGTGCTCCTGAAGAACAGAAAAGTTGAAAATATATGTAGATATAAGTAGACCCGATTCAAGTCCCAGCTTTGCCATAAGTTGACTGTGTGACCTTAAACATGTCACAACTCTGAGTTTGTAACCTCAGTTGTGAAAATGTGCATTGTAAACAAGAATATCTTTTCAGAATTCACACAGCTCTGAAAGCCAATGGTTAGAGAGTGATGCTGGTGTTTCCATACAGTTTGATAGAGATAATCCTAAAATCTTTTTTTCTTTCTTCACTGTCCCAATTATTATTTTAGCGACATATAAAATAGGTCCGTATAGGTCTTCAGGTTTACTTATTCTATTTTAGAAATCAACCTTGTTGAGATATGCATAATACAGAAAACTGTATATATTTAATGTATACAACTTGATAAGTTTGTAGATAAGTATATACCAGTGAAACCATCACCACAATCTATGCCATAAACATATACATTATCTCTAAAAGTTTCCTTCTACCCTCTTTATTATTAATATTTGTGTGTGTGGTAAGAACACTTAACATAGAGCATAGTGCCTAGAGTTAACAATACTGTATTGCAGGGGTCCCCAACCCCCAGGCCACGGACTGGTACCAGTCCATGGCCTGTTAGGAACAGGGCTGCACAGCAGGAGGTGAGTGGTGGGTGAATGAACATTACCACCTGAGCTCTGCCTCCTGTCGGTCAGCAGCGGCATTAGATTCTTGTAGGAGTGAGACCCCTTTGTGAATTGTGCATGTGAGGGATCTAGCTTGCGTGCTCCTTATGAGAATCTAATGCTTGATGATCTGTCACTGTCTCCCATTGCCCACAGATGGGACTGGCTAGTTGCAGGAAAACAAGCTCAGGGCTCCACTGATTCTACATTATAATAAATTATATAATTGTTTCATTATATATTACAATGTAATAATAACAGAAATAAAGTGCACATAAGTGTAATGCACTTGAATCACCCCGAAAACCATACCCCGCACCACCCCGTCTTTGGAGAAATTGTCTTCCATGAAACTAGTCCCTGGTACCAAACAGGTTGGGGACCACTGCTGTATTGTATACTTGAACATTTGCTAATAGGGCAGATCTTGTGTTAAGTGATGTTAGCACATCTAATGTTTTGTTTAAAATTTTTTTTAATCTATATTAAGAGGTTGTGGATTCTTAGATTTGAACATGTGTTCTTAGGGTTGGCCAGAAATATTTGTGCTGAAAATGTATCTTTGGACTTCTATTTTATTGCCTGGAGATGTTTGCCATTTGGACCAATAATAAATGCCTGAGATTTCCCTCCTATGCATGTGTGTAAATCTGGGACTTCAAATTTATCTAAAGACTTGGGTAAATGCCAAGGCTATGTTTTCAAATAGCCAGGTACTTTGAAAAGCTCTGTCTTCATTGTTCTCCTCTTGACGGAGATGTTAATGGAAGCTGACCTTGATTGGCACTCAGTGAGAAATCAATGAGATATTTTTTTCAAGGTGTTTGAAAAGGTGTAAGAAAGGTTTGGCAAATGTTTTTAACTCAGGCCCAGATTTTAAAACCGGGTTGTTACTGTTTTATTATTAGAGAATAATCATTTTTGTAGTATTATATTTTACAGATATTTTGAATGAAACAGGAAGCCTGTGTTCCATTTTGAATGTCCTAGATGGGTGAAATATGTCAATTACTCTATTCTATATGTGTTTATTAAAGAGAGCATTTAACATTCATGTTTATTTAAAAGTCCAAATGGACCTAGTCTTTCCTCTTTAGTCTCCTGGTTTCGTCCTCATTCTTTCTTAGTTTTCACTTTCTAATAATACAGAATATAAATTGTAGCTTATTCTTGCTGAAACCTATACTGCACCAGTGGTCAGTTTGCTTATATTCATTACAACAAGTCACCATCCTAATGAAGCCTCAATTTTCAGGACTGATAGGGACTGGGAGAGGATTTATAACCAATTTCTTTGTATCAGAATAAGTCAATTTCCTCATCAAAAATATTAGTTACCAAGGTCTAAATGAGGTCACTTTTAAATGCCAAGCAGAAATAGAATACTCAATAGTTTACCCTAAGTAATTTCTCTGACTATAAATTTCAAGATGAGTGAAGGCAGAATTTTAATCATTGCACTGAAAAAACTCAAATTGATTGTGTCTCTACTGTAAGAATTTGTCAAAAGAATAATAACGGTAACAGTGAACTTTGGAAACACATTTTTCTCAGATATCAAATACAAGTTCATCATTAATATGTGTTCTTGTATGGTAATACCAAAAAGCACAAATACATATGTAAAATACACACTACTCACATACAGATCATTAAAAGTGGTGAACAATACAAAATATAAATTTTCTAACTGCCATAACAATATTTTATGGGATATGTAAACTAGAGGCTCCATCGAGTTGCTCAAAAATTATTTGGTTACAGGGTAAATACACCTTGTACATCATAATGAAAGTCTTATAGGTAGGGGTAGAGATTAACACTTCAGGCTGTCTACAGAATATTAATAAAATTCAATATATTTTCTAAAAGGTATAATTTATATTTTGTGGAAATGAGACCCTTTTCTAATAAAATTCTTCTGTCCTTCATTCTGTTCATATAATTTTGCTATAAATCATCCTGTAGGAATTTTTTCCCCTAAATATTCATCTCAGGGAGAACCTATTTAAATAAGCCCTCTTAGCAAGATCTTTCAGAATTAAAATTACACCACAAGCAATACTTCATCTAATATGTTTCCTTCTATAGAATTTTATTATGCCTAAAATAATGTTTTTGCTGAATTCCATTATGATAAAATTGTTGATTTGAGGTGACTTTGATAGTAAAGAAATTGTGTGTTAAAAGATCATCAAATTATCCTTAGTCTTTTTAATTGTAGTGTCTCTGAATTTGTACCATTGCAGCTCCTTCCTGCTTCCAATCTACATACATAGTGAGAAAAACCTAAGGGCATTATTCTCAGCTTCATTGCAAAGAAAGAATAAGAAGAAAAATTGCTGCTGGATATACTAGGTTTCCTAGGCTTCTAGTAAACTAGAACATTATGCTCTTTCTTAGTCATTTAAAGCGTATTTTACTCTACTGTCTGGTAGCCATTACAAAAAAGTCTTTTATTTCTGATATAATAAGTAATTTGATTTTTTAAGATGTGAGATACAATATGGCGAATAGACATATTGGGCATTCACAGGTACACACACACACACACACACACACACACACACACACACTACATTAATGTCAGGTCTTTGGAAGGTCTCAAGTACTGGGAGTGTCTCTTGAGGGTATTACAGGAGGGTTCCATAGGAAACTCATGCTGCAGAGCTCGGAGAAGATTTTGGATAATGTAATTAGCAAAACTCTTGCTTGGCAAATTATCAGGTGCTTGACAAGTGAATATTCAGGTGCTTTAATTCACCTATTTCTTATATCTGCCCATTGAGGTAGGTGAAATGGGCTTTATTACCTTCTTTTTCCATATGGAAACTGAGGTTCAGTCAGGTTACCTGACCTCAACACAGCTCACAGCATTGTTTTCTGATGCAGAGGCCAGGGCTCTTTTACATGACATAACGGAAAGCTGACTTTCAGTCAACTAATACTTTTGGCTCTTGGGCTCTCAGGAGGCCTTCACATCATTTCAGTCCCAAGCATCAAGCAGGAGATGAGCTTGGGGTTCAGATTAAATGTATACATTTATTGTTTGCTGTGGGATGTATGTGGGAAGCGGTAATGTGCATAGGCTCCACAGTTGTTGCAAACATTAGGCACCCGATAAACCCTCTGTATGGGCCATGGGGCATCACAGACTATGGCATCAATGTGTTGGGGGAATATCTATCTGCTCCACCATCCTCAGTGTCATCTGTCTCCCATACATGTAGATCCCTTCGTGGTCTCAAGTTGGCTGCCACATCCCAGGAGTCATTAGCAGACGGGCAATATCAGCAAACTTATTAGAGAGGAGTTGAGCCTCTTCTGATGCATATGGCTGCATGATACAAAATCAGGGTTCTTGTGGCAAGATATAAGACAAGAAGCATTTGAAGAGGCAATAACAAGTGCCTGCCCAGAATGCATAGAGAAATAAGGTAATATTTAGCTTCTTGCATTAAAAAATGGAATTTTTACAGCAAGAATGGAGGCTTCTTATCTAAATTCCTTCATCTGCTCTTCTGGCATGCCATTAAGCAGGTTTAGCAGGTATGAGTTTGATGTAGAAGAGGTCTTCAGGCTGGAGAAAGAAGTGGGGAAGACATAGTCTTCTTTGGCCCCAAAAGATTGTGGAGAGAAAGAGAGAGAGAGGAGGAGAGTGAGCTGTTGTCCTGTTTTCCCTTCTTGGGGTTGGTTTGGGGATGTGGCTGTGGGGGAGGGGGCACTGACATTAAGTAGGTGTCAGGGAGCAGTGAAAGCAGAATGCTCATGTCCCACTCTCACATTTGGAATTCTGGAAAAATGCTAATTTGCCAAGAATCTTATTAGGAGGGAATAGCATTGCAGTCAGCATAAATAACTTGCTGGTACTCTTGAGGCCTTCTCAGGTTCTATGCACAGTCGAATCTAAGTGGACACATAGCTGACCTGTCTTCAGGACATCAAGGCAGAGGACTGAGTTCCACGAGCAAAGGGACTGGCTAGTGGACATGGTGGACATGCAGAATTTTCCCAGGAGCCAAAAGAATAACCCCAAGTTCATCACCTACAGGACTCCCAGCCGACAGGTGAACTTAGGACTTCTCATCAGAGGTGTGCAGTTGCTAGCCATGGCATACCAAGAAATAGCACATCAGCTGGTGCCAGTCTCCATTATCCACCAGAATTGTGAAGCCACTTACTCCTTCCTCTTTATATGTGGACGCTCTATTTGGGATAGAAGCAAGGAAAATGTTGGGCTATCTTAGAGCCTGCACCAACCAAGATGAGGTGACTCAATATTTTGACCTGTTATGGTCTGAATGTTTATGTTCCCCAAGAATTCGCATGTTGAAATCCTAACCCGGAAAGTGATGGTATTAGGAGGTAGGGCCTTGGGATGTGATTAGTTCATGGGGCAGAGCTCTCGAGAATAGGATTAGTGTCCTTATAAGAAAGGCACAGGGGAGACCCCTCACTCCTTCTATTATGTGAAGTTACAGTAAAAAGAAGGCCGTCTGTAAACCAGGATGCTGGCCTTTGCCATGTTCCAAATCTGCTGGCACCTTGATGTTGGACTGTTCAGCCTCCAAAACTGTGAAAAATAAATTCGTGTTATTTATAAGCTATATCTGGTTTGTGGTATTTTGTTGTAGCAGCCTGTGCAGACTAAGACACACTCCCTCCATGTTGTCTATGGGCACGGGGTGGAGTTTGGAGACAGTTCAGGATTTCATAACATGGTTCCTTTTTCACTGAAGTATTGGTTCCTCTAGTGTAGTATGACATGAAAAATATCAACATACTTATAACATACCTGTTCAGGAAAAGGAGGAAAATGTTTAACATGCCTGTATTATTCCTCCTGCATACTATGGGAATATTTTGTTTGTTCTTATGTATAAGAAGAAAGTACTTATTACTAACACAGCATATTAACATAATGAAAAGAAGTGTTTATGCTAAGGAAATCTTTACTAGGAGGTATTTTTGAGATAAGGCCTAATTCTTTAATGGCCATTAATTTGTACCCAATTAAACAGTAGGCACTAAAAACTGTAGTGAGTATAAATGAGGGAAGTCAAGGGGATGAGAAATCTGAAAACACTGGGGGAGTTTCACTTGTGGAAGATAAGACAAAGTTAAGTCTTCGTGTGGGTGGGGATAAACTGCTGGCTATGAATATATAAAGGGTTCTGTTGATAAAATCACATAATCAACATAAAATTGCTCTATAAGTTCTAAAGCATTACGGAGATGTTATCTCTTTATGTTTTATTTTATTCTCTAGTTCCAGACAGCATGAGTAGACCCAATGGGTAAAATGTAAAAGGAAGTGGCTTGTTAGCAGTTGACCAGGTGAATGTACTACCTTAACCATGGGACCCCAAATGATTCAAGGGCAGGATGGATCTCTCTCTTTCAGGGTGAAGGTGGATGTGCTTTAAGACCTCTGTAAGGCTCTAGGTCTCCACTGTTCCAAGAAACAATTTCTTTTATGTATTTATTCTTATTTATTTATTTATATTATACTTTAAGTTCTAGGGTACATGTGTACAACACGCAGGTTTGATACATAGGTATACATGTGCCATATTGGTGTGCTGCACCCAGCAACTTGTCATTTATATTAGGTGTTTCTCCTAATGCTATCCCTCCCCCAGCCCCCTACCTCTGACAGGCCCCAGTGTGTGATGTTCCCCGCCCTGTGTCCAAGTGATCTCATTGTTCAATTCCCACCTATGAGTGAGAACATGCAGTGTTTGGTTTTCTGTCCTTGTGATAGTTTGCTCAGAATGATGGTTTCCAGCTTCATCCATGTCCCTGCAACTTTCTAGTAGAACATTTGTCCATTTATGGGGCTTCTTCCCCTGAAATTGAAGAGGCTAAGTAATATACTTAAGGCACAGATCAGGTAAATGGAGGGTTTTTAACCTGTGAGGATACCTGAGCCAGATGCTTGCTACTGAGAGTGTGGGGCTGGAGCCAGGATTAGCAGCATCACCTGGGAGCAGGTTAGAAAGGCAGACTCCTAGCCCCACCCCCTGGGATTCTCAGGCCAGCATGCCAACAGGCTCCCCAAGCATTCCTGCACACACGGAGCTGGACACTTAAAGAACTCCTATAAATGTTAGACTCACAAGTGGACCCAGAGAGCTCCTACCTGGGAGGCTGTTGTATTCTCTGATTCAAAGCACCTGCAGTTGAGACTCCTGCTCACCCTCACCCTCCTATCAAGACAAGTAGCTAAAACCACAGTGAACCCAACGTGCTATTTTGGGTTAAAATCAGTGGTGCCCATTGTAAGAACAAATGCAAATTAAAAATAAAAAGCTTAATTTCCCCTGTTGAAATGAGGAAAGAGATTCCCCTAATTGCCTGTACTTTCTTATCCCTTCGAAATGTATACAAATCATTTTGAAAACTAAATAGTCCTTTTGTCAGCTTTATGACCTAGGAAAGCTTTCTCTAGAACCTGGGAGACATCTCTTTGAAATGTAATTGTAAAAGGAGCCAGCGTTTCTATCTCCCAGTTTCTGTGAGAAGGAAGAACCCTAACTTAGGTGTGCGCCTTGTTCCAAGTTGCAAACCTTCTGTTTTTAAGATATTAGAACTTGGTTTTGCTCTGAATAAAGCCACTTAGCCAACACAGATGGTAACCCTAATTACCAGATAAAGTTAGAATGAACAGTGTGACAAAATATGGCCCTCTTACTTCAAGACTAGTTATTGCTTATCTTCAGAACATGTATGTAATGCATTGTATCTGCTTAGCTTTATAAAAGGGTGTAATTCCTTACTATTGTTGCAATCTCTTAGTGGATTACCTATAATGTGCTGATGCACATTCTGGTTTAATACTTAGTCAACAATGAAACTGTTTTCTCTACTACCTTTGTGGAGAGGTTTTCTGGGTGGAGGAAGATTTTCATTTTTAAATTATATTTCCTCAGCGACATACTATTATACTAATAAATTATTAAAGTATCCTATTTATTATTCTTATATTCCTGCACTGCCATAGTCCCTGCCTCCCTGCCTCCCTCCCTTTTTTCTTCCTTCCTTCTTTTTCTTTTTCTTTTTTTTGATAGAGTCTCGCTCTTTCACTCAGGCTGGAGTGCAGTGGCACAATCTCGGCTCACTGCAACCTTTGCCTCCTGGGTTCAAGTGATTCTCATGCCTCAGCCTCCTGAGTAGCTAAGATTACAGGCATGCACCATCATGCCCCTCTTATTTTTGTATTTTTAGTAGAGAGGGGGGTTTCACCATATTGGCCAGGCTGGTCTCGAACTCCTGACCTCAAGTGACCCACCCACCTCCGCCTCCCAAAGTGCTGGGATTACAGGTGTGAGCCACCCTGACCAGCTTTTCTTTCTATCCTTCCTTTCTTCCTGCTATCTCCCTTTCCTCCTTCCTCCATCCCTCGCCAGCTGTCTTTCCTCTTTTCTTTCTTTTCTTTTTGCTTTTTCGTTTTTCTAAATTGGCCTTAAACCAATTCCTCTCCAGCCAAATTATTCAGTAGAGATGAGATCGTAGATTTTATGAGTAAATATCTGTCCCAAATGTTCTTAAAAAAAGGTAATAGCATGGACCCAAACAATTAAAACACTGGTTTAATCCAAAGTTTATTTTTGCTTTGCAGTGAGGAAGTTTTAGGACTGAGCTCTTTGGTGTTTAACCTTGAGAAGTCAGAACAAAGGGTGTTCCTTATATCACGAAGGATGGTAACCCACAGACCTTAAAAAAATATGGACTTCTAATTTTGAGAGGTATTAGGTTGGCAATTGTAAGATGTCATTATTATAACTGGTCAACTGTGTGTGTGTATGTATGTGTATATACCTATATCCAACTATCATCTATCTATATGTCAGGAGCCATTTTACTTGTACTTTTTGAGATTAAAGAAACATTCATTTGAAATATATGAAAAATTCCGTGTGCTAGCCAACAAGGGAAATGCAAATTATTACTATTGTTCATTTCTAAGGTACCATTCTTTGGTTATAAAACCTATCCAAAGAGCATATTAGCAAAATAGTGTATTCAAATTACTATTTATACAAAAACACAGAAGCTCTATAATAATTTAAGCAAGTGATATTATAATTTTATTTCTATTGATACCATATAGGAATTGATGAGCTAATGTTGTCCCCTGAATCTGTGGTGGCGAGGAAGTTCCTAGGGGGAATACAAGAACTACCTAGCTTAACCTAAAATCTACACAGCATTTGTGCCCCTGAGCTTTTTAATAAGCAATAGCAGTGGGGTTTCTGATTGAATACTCTCCTTGGTCAGTGTCAATAAATACTTAACCTTTTGGAGCCAAAACATGCATGTGAAATAAACAATGAAATATCTCCTGATTCTCTAAGAAGGCTTGGACTCTGAAATTGTTTTACATACTATGACTTAATTTCTGACCGTTACCTTTTTCACCCCTGATATTTTGATCCTGTCCTTGCCGGAGAGCCACAAAGCACCTTCTGACTAAAAAACAATACAAATAAAAGCCTCACATTCTGCATAACCACAGATATAATTCCACATTGGACAGCACTATTTAATAACATCCTAGGTTTACTGAAGCATTCTATTTTTTTTTTTTTTTACCACAAATCCAAAGCTATCCAGTGTTACTTTTCTTAATTAAGCTAGGCTGCTCTCACAATTCAAACAGCTTCATTTTTTTTCTGCTTAAATTAAACTCCCTGTGCAATGCAGTGACCAAAACAAATAATCTATGACCTACAAACAAGACACTTGCATTCCCTGAAGAATTACGTTCTTGTTTCCTCTAGGTTATACATCTTTGAACCTCTCTTTGCTGTAACGACCTTCTGGTGCTCATTAGCATGCTGATTACCATTAACACAGCTATAATGCAGCAATTTTCTTGGTGTATGTCGAGGAGAAATGCTCATCTGAATGCAGTCAGGGGACAAAATTAACTGCATAAATCTACAGCGCAAACTGGATCTCGTCCAACTTTGCACAAGTCGTCTTTCCTCTCCTGGTTGTGACATCATCGTCTAGATTCCCACTGATGGCTTAATAAGTATCTCAGGGTTTCATATTTAATTTCCTTTCATCTCTGTATATTACATTTCAGCTTAATTTCAGGAATGCCTGACCACCTTATTACTATGTCTCATAATATATATTTACCTTTAATCTTTTAGCTATATCCCTTAATGGCTCTGTTATGAGATTCCTATCAACTCTACTTTTTACATCTTTTTTTCAACATTTATATCTTTAAAAAATATTGACTGATAGAGTAGAATATAAGCACATGAACACACACATTAATACATTTATGGAACTGAGAACGAGATTGAGATCTATGATTCGTCTGTATGTTTGGAAGCAGGCATACATATTACTCTTTTGCAAGAGAGAACTCGATGAATAGTCAGGAAAGGAAGAAATTTTAATGGAGAGAACAATGGATGTATGAGATTGGATTTTCTTCTTGCTGCTGTCATGGGCATTTGATGGTTTTTTGATGATATCGGTCTCCAAATGTAAACTGAGGGCTGCTGACTCTCAGCTTGCAGGTTCTAAAGCTGACAGGAAAGCTCCTGTACCCCTCTAAAGTTCCGCTACTGGACTTGTTCATTGCAAATATTATAACTAATTAAATGAACAAATGGCATCAGGAATATTTTGAAATCTTGTTCTCTTAATGATTATATAACTGGAATTATAGAAAATGTGGCAGAATAAGAATCACTTTTTTTTAAAAAAGAACATTTGATGTGATTACAAACTATATCACAGTATAAATAATCACCTCAAATAAGAAAGGTTATGCATTTTCTAATCAAGAGTGGGCTGACATTTGCATTTATAATCTTTAAAAATGCTAAGCTCTGGCCATTTTAATTTTTAAAGACATAAAATAACTTCTGCCCCATGCTTTAAGAAAAGCACAGATTAAGAACACAGACTGTGAACCACTCAATTGCTACCTCAGGATGATTAAACCTGATGGAGAGTGGTCTCCTGGTAACTTCCTAGCACTTACTGGCACGGAGGGAGACTGGAAAGGGTGGAGCAAGGAGGAATAAATGTCACTAGAATGCCACTTCTCTTAACACACTGTGATTCACTCCATGTTAGCAATGTGAACAAAGTGCTTGCGGATGCTCATGGAAAAGGAAAGTTAATTCTGATTCTCCTCTGTGGGCAGAGAGCTGAGGGACGTAACGGAGAAGATGTGGGGGAACATCAAGAAAAAAGGAACTATTTGGATTGAGTTTTGAAGATGGGGTAGAATTTCATGACCCTGGGAAGGGTGAGAGAGAGAGAGAGAGAGAGAGCCTTCTTTTCTTACTTTGATTATTGCAACTATAGAAACAGAATCATTGGATGGGAAAGCTGGGAGGAGTTTCAATGATCCCTTCTGTCCTACTCACCAACTTACCGATGATAGGAAGCACTACTTGCCCGTATCCCTGACCTGTTGATGCGAGAAATGATAGGTCATTAGGTTTGCAACTATATCACTAATACAAAGAATGATAGGATACTTTTAAATATTTCCATTGTCACTGTTATATGCAAATTAAACATTGTAAAAATGATGAAAAAAAGAAGAAACTCATAATTGTCATTACTCACACAAAATGCTTGCATTTAGTATATATCCACATTATACTTTCTGAAAGTCACCTCAGTAAGGCTCAAGCTCTAGTCTGAATAAAATTCTTTAAATATTATAATAGTCATTGCTGTAAAAATGACTGCTTAATTCAAGCCTAAATCTCTTTGTATGATCCATCTCTACTATGTCTACATTCTGAAAGCATGATTTCTTTTATAAAAGCAGTGGGCCGGGCGCGGTGGCTCACGCCTGTAATCCCAGCACTTCGGGAGGCCGAGGTGGGCGGATCACGCGGTCAGGAGATTGAGACCATCCTGGCTAACACGGTGAAACCCCGTCTCTATAAAAAATACAAAAAAAATTAGCCGGGCATGGTGGCGGGTGCCTGTAGTCCCAGCTACTCGGGAGGCTGAGGCGGGAGAATGGCGTGAACCCGGGAGGCCCAGCTTGCAGTGAGCCGAGATTGCGCCGTTGCACTCTAGCCTGGGTGACTGAGCGAGACTCCGTCTCAGAAAAAAAAAAAAAAAAAAAAAAAAAAGCAATGACCTCTAAAGGTTAATGTGTCTTTCCAATGTTTCCAACTGATTGACTCTCAAGGAAAAACTCATCTTTTTTAGCAAAATCACTTCACAAATGCTCGTGTTATTCTATACACCATCCAGATCACACAGGTAAGTTCTCTGCAACTTGGAAAGTTGCACAGATTTGATATATGGATGTAGATATAGATATAGATGGATATCAGAAATCGTTTGCCCCAAATTAAAAATCTGTAAACTTGTGTATGTCTGAATTGTAAAAATTCAGTTTTAAATGTTTATTTTTCTATCTTTCTTCAATCATTTAATTATTCAGTCATCTAACACTCAATGCCAATCCGTTAGATTTCTACTATATTCCAGTTACTCTGATAGAAACTGGAGTTATAAAGACAACTGATGAACAGTTCGCATTGTGAGGCATCACAGTATTACAGGGGAAAAATAAGTCAGGCTGTAAGTGCTTGGTCAACAGGCTGCATTAGTCTGTTTGGGCTGCCATAAAAAGAAATTGCCACAGACTGGGTGGCTTATCAACAAGGGAAATTTATTTTCTCACACTTCCAGTGGCTGGCAGTCTGAGATCAGGGTGCTGGTGCAGTTGGGTTCTGGTGAGGACTCTTTCTGGCTGCCTTCTCCATGTGTCTTCACACAGTGGGGAGAGAAAGAGAAAGAGCCAGAATGCTGGTGTTTCCTCTTATAGGAGCATTGATCCCATCACAAAGTACCACCCTCATGACCTTAACTAAACCTAAATTCCTCCTAAAAGTTCCATCTCTAAATACCATTACACTGGGGGTGTAGGGCTTCAACACATGAACTTTTGGGAAGATAAAATTCAGTTTATTGCAACAGCTGTGCTACTTTGAGAAAATTGTGTAACCTCTCTGGGAGTCCAATACTTCCACTATAAAGTGAAAATAATACTGCACACATTTGAGATTATTGGGATAGTAACATAAGGTAGTATAAGTAAAAGCATTTATTAAAGATGGTGCCTGATAAATAGTAGGGACTAAATAATTAGTGTCACGGCCCTCTTCTACCTGCCCTTTCTCTGCTTAAAGTTCCCAATGGTAGGAATAGATTGGAGAGTGGGACAAGGAAAAATAAACTGTAAAGGCACCTCTCATAAGGCATTATGATACATCCTGTATTAGCAATACTTTATCATAGAAGGGAGAAATTAATTCTGATTCTGACTTCTTGGAGTAGTGAGGGGCACGGCAGAGGGCTGCAGGGGAGTGGCTAGGAAGGAGGAGATATTTGAATTGGGTTTTGAAAACGAGGTGGAATTGCCCTAGGCCGAGACCCTCTGTGCTGATGGGCACAGTGCACCTGGGAAATCTGGTTGGCATGACTGTGAGCACCTATCTAAGGAATTTCAGCACACTCTAAGGTGATTTCCTTTTTTTCCTTTGAAAGCTCCTTTACCACCTCTTCTTCTCTTCTTAATAGTCTATCATTTCCAGGTAAGAAAAACATATGCCATATATTACTGAGTGCAAATTGGAAAGATTACAGCACTCTGGGTTTTGGAGTTGTAGATATAAATCTCTTCACGGGGACTCCCAGACACAAGGAGGCACATGTGGCAAGTCTCAGCCTTCCACGGGGCCTGACTGAGCCTCTGAGCAGCTGCTATTTTATGTCCTTGAAAGCATGTCTGTTAGAGAAAATCCTTTTGCACACAGTCTCTAATGCTAACAGTTTCTTTCCTAGGTGAAAAAATATATATTTTATTTCACATGCAGAAACCAAAGTAATAGAACCATTTAAATGCACAACTTAGGGTATCTGATTTTTCTTCTTAAAATAAAATATTAATGCCCTTTTTTCTTACTACAGTGGTATTCCATGTTCAGTTTAAAAACCACAAAATACAGATAAACAGGAAAAAAACAAAAATAAGTCACCCGTATTCCTACTACTTAAAGATAATTTTTAAATTCTAGGGGAACTTAAACTCTTTAATTTGTATTTTATGCATATAATATTTTACTTTACTATAAGTTTTTAATGTTTTATCAAATATTTTTGGAAATAAGGTATTTTTCTAGTATAATTATAGTAGCTACTTAATATTTTAGTATAAGGTTGTGCCATAATTTGTTTTCACCAACTTTATATTCTTGTTTATTTAGCTTTTTTTTTGTGAAATTCTGTGATATCATATTTATAGCTTGTAAATTTTGCATAAGTTAATACTTCTTAGGATAAAGTTCTAGAAGTGGAATATTTTAACTTACAGGTATATACATTTTACTTGCAGTTGATAAAGTGTTACCAGTTGCTGACCACAAAGAATATGCTAACATAAAAATTTACCAAAATTTTATGAGAAAATATATGTCTTTCTGCTTCTTCCAACACTGGACATTAGTACTTTTAAAAAATATTGCCCATTAGATATCTTTTTCTTTTTAAGGATAAGCTTCAATAGGGAGGTACTACTTGAGCTTTAAAAGGGAGACACCTGGGGAGAAAACCAGAAATAGAACAAAGGACTTGAGAGTCCAAGGATAGAGCTTCCCTAGCTTATGTTTTTGCCTAGGGTTAGCCCTGAGTTGCAAGACATATTATTGCATTTGTCTGAGAGGCCATGACATACTTATTTGAAATTCTAAAAAGAAGACAAAACCACCTTTCTGTTTTCTCCATTTCTCTGTTTTTTTTTCTCTCCAAATATACCCTTTCTTTCTCATTGGAGTTGCCTCCACTATTGCAGGAATGAAGAGCAAGTAGGAGAGATTAGACTTTGGCTTCTCTACGAAGGGTATCCATACTCTCTTCAAAGGCTACTGTGGAAAGGGGCCACAAAGATGCCTACTCTGCAGGCAGGATTACCTGGCGGAATTTTGAGATGTTCATTGTTTATTTATTCGATGACACACAGAAATGGAAATTTCTACTCGATAAACTGTTGAAAGGATCGTGGAAATAAAACCAACAAAAGAGAACTTTTAAAAATAATGTTTTTAGGGAATCTTATTTTACTCACTCAAAATTTACTAAATCACAAACCTGGACCTGATTATGAAGTGCATATTTCAGCCTTGGGGTTGACTTAAATTGTAAATAGGTAGTTGCAGTGTGGCCAAGAGGGCTGTATCTGGCCTAGTGCCATGTGGACAGAGGACTGATTAAGGATAGAATGAAGTAGTAAGAGGGCTGGCTGTGAGAGTGAGACCTGAGTTAGAATTCACTTCCATCATTCACTAACTGTGTAACTTTGGTAAGTGGCTTAAATTTCTAATACCTCAGTATCTTATCTGTAAAATAGAGATTATAAAAGCCCCCTCATAGGATGTGAGGATTAAATGACATGCTTGTAAAGTACTTAGCAAAACATCTGGCTCATTGTAAATGGTCAAAAAGTAGTAGATATGTAGATACAGTTGTATCTACTACCAAGAGCCCAAAAGTCTCATTACTTCACACTGTAGCCCCTTGTGTTAACATTGTGTGAAATGAAGAGGCCACATTCTATTAAGTGTTAGTTTTAAAATGTTCACAAAGGATGAAAGCAAGAGGAGGAGTAGACCCACACAAAACTGTTAAATTCTCACAAAGAGGGAAAGATACAATGTAGATCATAATCCTGCTACTTAGATTGTTGAAGCTCATTTCAACTGGAAAATTGATCTTGGCTGGGGCATAATTTAAAGATAGCATTTTTATTCTTTAGGACAGGCCTAAGTTCCTATAGTCTTCTTGGACTGAGATGAAAGATAGCTGCTTTTTCCCCCCAGGAAACAGGTAAGGCAATATTAGTTAAACAATAAATTTATAAACAGGCTTTATCTATTGGTCTCAAGAAAATGAGAATTCTGGCCAAGTGACAAATCAGATTCTTGAAAATGAATTTGGATGTGAAGAACATTTAACAAGAGGCTGGAAACAATTGATGAATGATTCAGTCATGTGTATCTCTAGATTGATAAATCAAGGATACTGAAGCTGGTGTAATGAATGGCTAAATACCAAAGTGCTTGTTTATCCTTTTTATCCTCCCCAAGTTTTTAGCAGGGCTCATACACATAGGTGCTCAAGAGCTACTCATTTTTAATTAACTCAAATGCATTATATTTCATTACCATGTTTTTAATAGTATATAATACTTCAGTGTAGAGAAAGTAGAGTATTAGTACTCTGTATGTGCCAACTGGTTTAATGTTTAGTTCCAGAAACAATCAATTGTGTTTATAAAGAATCCATTCTCCAAAGATGGTGGGCTAACATTTTATCAGATGGGCCACGCTCCAGAGATGGCTACCCCAAGATGTATAGCAAACTATCCATTTCAACTAACATGTTAGGTGATGTTAGTTAACACAGTGAATGTCAAAAATGGGTTATTATTGGTGAAATTGGTGGCTTGTTATTTAGTATGTTTAATATCAGAGATGGGTTCTCACTGTGATGTTAAAGTACACAAAACATGTGAATTGGCCAAAATATTTTTTAAAATCCTATTCCCTTTTCCTTCTCCTTGCATGAACGAGGATTAAGAATCCAGTATTGTTGGTAGCCAGTACCTTTAGGCACAGGATATGAAGTCCTAAATGGCTCCTGAGCTCAGCTATTGGTTTAAGAAGCTTAGTGGCCTGGTACCAACTATAAGGGTAATAAAAATCGGCTTCTAAAATATGGTCACATCTCAGAATTGCCTAAAAGGACACTGAGTTCACTGAACAGATTGTATGAAGTGTGTTGAGGGTTGCTTGCTAATGAATGCTGAATGTGTGAAAGAATTGGGCTTGAAGTAGTTTTCATTGGCAAAGCTGTATTGTGCAGAGGTAGGAATGGAATCCTCTCACCCATCTCAAATTTCTTCAGGAACTACCATAAAGAACCTAAGAAATGTGCTTGTCCAAAATGGCTTACATATAATTTGCAACATGCTTACTTGCTCTATATAGAGTTCCTTTTTTAAGATCCTCTGATTTTTTGGAGGAGCTCCTATTTGTTCAGAAATGTTCAGAGCAGATTATGTAGGCTATTCTACCATCCCTAATTAACATCATTATTATATTTAATTTTTTAAAAAGTCTGACATTGTGTTCTCTTTCTTTCCTCTAAGTGCACTAGACTCAATGACATTTGGTTATATGGATAATATGTTGCCTTCGATTTTTCCCAAAGGAAATGTTGGTAAAAGGGGAGAAAGGGCTTCCTCTCTATGCACAAATACAATGGTGCAGGTATAGAACTTGTCATATGGCCCCAAATGGGAAGAGGGCCAAAGGAAAGAGCAGAGGAATGGGCTCATTGTTGGCCATGACAGGAGTCTGGAGGGGACAGCAGCAAAGCTCTTCTCTAAGAATAGCAATTATTTTTATGGTGACTATTTACTGAGGATTTAATTTGTGTAAGGCAATGTGATAAACTCTTTTAGTACAGAGTCTGCTTTTACTTAAAGTCTCTATGAGGTAGTTACTATTATCCTCATTTTACAGAAGAGAAAACTGGGACTCAGAGATGTTAAGCAACCTGCTCATAAGTGGTAGGGACAGAAATCAAACCAGCTGACCAGCAACACTCTTTCAAGCTCTCCTTTCTTCTTCTTTTTAAAAGAAACGTTTTTAAGAATAGAAGTTTTTATATACTTTTGAGACAATTCTACACAATTTCACACACCCTTTTTACATTTCATATTCTTTTAGAAATTTGCTTACTGAATCCTATGCTTGCTTCTACTAGCACTTGTGAAGATTCTGTAACCTGGGAAAGAAAGGGAAGCAAGTCTCCATTTTTTCTGTGACCTCCATTATAGCAGGGGTCCCTAAACCCTGGATCATAGACCAGTAGTGGTCTGTGACCTGTTAGGAACCAGGCTGAACAGGGTATGCTGAGTGGTCAGGCAGTGAGCATTACCGCCTGAGCTCTTCCTCCTGTCAGATCAGCAGCAGCCTTAGAGTCTCACGAGAGCACAAACCCTATTGCGAACTGCGCATGTGAGGGATCTAGGTCTCGTGCTCCTTATGAGAATCTAATGCCTGATGATCTGTTGCTGTCTCCCATCACCCCAGATGGGACCATGTAGTTGCAGGAAAACAAGCTCAGGACTCTCACTGATTCTATAATGCATTATAGTGAGTTGTATAATTATTAATATTTCATTATATATTACAATGCAATAATAATAGAAATAAAGTGCACAATAAATGCAATGCACTTGAATTATCCTGAAACCATCCACTGATCCCGGTCTGTGGAAGAATTGTCTTCCACAAAACTGGTCCCTGGTGCCAAAAAGGTTGGGGATCACTGCATTATACCATTCTAGCACAATTCTAAGTATTTTAGAGGAGCTCTAACTGAATAATACTATCACTAAGAGGACACTGCCATTAAATTTTTGAATATATATCTTTTAGGTATTTTCCCCCAGTGCACATTAGCAAAATGGAATCACATTATAGATATTGTATTATAACTTGTCTCTTACTAACAACATATTATAAACACCTTTTGGTGTCACTAAATATAAACATGGAATATATAGTCTTAAGAATTATAATTGGTTTCAACATCACATCCCCCCATCCAGGAACTCTTAAAATCTCCTTAATGTAACTCTGTTGAGGGGATGCATATGACATTATTGCCCAAGAGGAAATCAAAGTTATCAAATGCATCTGCACTATTCTCCCACAGCATTGTTTTGACAGGAATTGCAGTATTTTCAACCAATGTATTAGCACAATCTGAAAATCAAATTCTCTTTGATATTCACAGATGGCATAACTGAAGTGACTTGATGCTGCTGTTGTATAAATTTTCTTACATGTTGTTCTGGGAATGGGGTCAATATGGTCGTAGATCGAAGCTGGGCACTTTGGCAGCAGTGAAATCAATGCTGTTTTGCACTTCCTTTATTGATAGGCTCTAGAGGACCACACTTAGACCAATTCTGAATTCACATTTTGGTAAACACTTATCCAAAAAGTAGATGTTAATGATTTGACATCTGATAGGGTAGACAGCAAAGTATCCCTCCTTCAAAGTGAAAGAAAGTACAAACTATCAACAAAAATTTTCCTTATTTTATTTCTTAGATTGCTATGTTATTCTACCCACTTCGCTCTCTTTGCCTATCTGATGGTTATGATTGTTAATCTTAAGTAATTGATACGCATATATATGTGTATCTCCACATTACAGTTTTTTAAAATCACAGTTCTTTACTGACAATATCCAAATACAGCAGATAATCTTACAAAGAAAAAAAAATCCGAAACAAACCTCAGATGAAACAAGAATACCAAAAAGAATTCAAGGTTTTTATCTACCAACTTAAGAGGAAGGCAAGGCACTTAGTCGATTTTGCCTTTTGCTGGTGTTTAGTCTCTCAGGCCCTCCTCAGTTTTATGAACCAAGAGCCACCAGAGGGAAATAGAAAGTTGAAACATATTAATATGTCAAAGTGTGGAAAGGTGAGTCTCAGCATTTCCCATGTGGGTGTGTTTTGATTTCATGTTGATTTGCTTATTTCAACTCTCTTACCTGGAGCTTCAGAGGCTAAAATTGAAAGTGCAGGAGATCCTGACTGAAATGCTAAATTACTCTTCCAGAGGCTATGATTCTACATAGCCTAGTATCCCACCATTCAAATAATCCATGGAGGAAGGCAATTTCTTTATTAATCTGTTTGTTTTTAAACCTTAATCTATTATAGACTAATATTTTGGTAAAATACAAAATCATGCTCTTGGCTGTCATGGCAATATGCCAAATTGTTATAAAAGGTTTTAATCACGTATTCTCAATATCTGTACCAGTAACAAACAATTTGAGTAGTACTGGTCTACTGAACTAAACATTAGTTTGACAGTTTAGAGATTGGAACTAATCTCAATTTGAATGCTAAAAGTCCAAACGACTCAGATCACTTAGCTTTTCTAGGACTCTGGCCTTTTTAGGTTTTAAGTTTCTGTATCATAGGAGATGTCAGATGCTAAACAGCTTTGATTAAAAATGTTTAAGCATGACACACAAGCTGGTGGGAGAATTTGATACCAGCTCATTTGGTAACTGGGAACAACTTCGGTGCATCTGATTTCAACATTTTCTGTGGAAATTTGTTTCTTAACTGAGCTGCTGGGAAGAATCATTAATAAAAGATAACATAAAACTAAACACCCACATAAACACACACACACACACAGACATACATGTAACACAGCCATCATAGATATGTTTGACTCTTGGCAAGAGTTGGTGCAAGAAGCCCAAATGGATCTAAAGGACATGAGATTAAATGTGTCTTCTTTTATTTTAGGCTTTTTAAAAGAAATGTAAATTTTCTTACACAGAAAGTGGGTTGCATAATACTGATTATGCTTACCTTAGACAGGTACATTTTTTTTCCTCCTTATTTTGAGGCAGAAGCTATTGGAGGAAAAAGGAATGACTTGGATGAAATTAGTTTATTGTAATTTGCAATGGAAAACATGGTGTTTTTGAGAAAACATTATATTTTTAATTATAGTTAACACACATAGAAAAGTGCATAAACTATAAGAGAACAGCTCAATGAATTTTTACAAAGTGCATAAACCCACCAAACCAGCACTCAGTTACTAAAGAATATGAACAACCTGGAACCTCTCCCTCCCTTAATCTCCCTTTCAATCACCAGTTCCCCAAGGGTAACTTATATCCTGGCTTCTTATGCAATAGATGAATTTTGCTTGTACTTGAACTTTATATAAATGGACTCATACACTAACTTCTCATTTTTGGCTGGCCTCTTTTGCTCAACATTGTTTGTGAGATTCATTTCTCTTGTTGCCTGTAGTTGTGGTTTGCCTATACTCATTGCTCTACAATGTTCCATTATATGAACATACTCATGTTTTTTTTAATTGGGGAAAACTTGAATGTATTTGAAAACTTTTTGAACCCATCTCCAAGACAGAATTATAAATCCATGAAATGTTTATAAATATGTTGCTCCTGGGGTATTAGACTTATGTGTGCCATCCCATTTTTTCTTCCCAATTTTCATTCTACAAATAGGCTGCAAGTTTGCCTAAGCTGAGTCAGAAGAAAAAAGGTGAGCAGATCCCATCCAAAAGCATCAGCAGCCAAACAGATGTGGTAAGAGCAATGGTTCTGATGTTATAAGGCACCTGGCTACTGCCTCCCTGATTCGGGAAAACTGTATCCAGAGAGTTGCTTTGGAAATGAGTCAACTGATCCATGATGGGAGAAGCTGATTTGTTTGTCTAAATTTAGGCAGGAGGTATTGAAACTAGCCCTACTCATCAAGGTTTATGCAAGGCCATTATAATATTTCCACATTATCTCTGCCTTTATTAATTCATCCAAGCAGCCTATTCGCTTTTTGGCCCAATGTCGCCCATTGAGCAGACATCTTAATTGAGTTGTTCATAATGACGCCTAGATCTTTTTCGGGAGAGATGCCAGCTAATTCAAGAGCCCATCAGACCCATTAGTGTGTGGGAACTTTAAACGATCTTTTTCAATATGCATTACTCTGCAGTGAACTACTTGGGAGTGTGTTTTCATGCATAACCTAATCAATTTCTCTTAGTTTTTTGGGAATACCACAGAATCTCTCAATGTTTCCATGAGGCTTAAAAGTGATGTTGAGATCTCATGGTTAAACTGGTCAAGTTTCATTCTTTTTTCTTTCAGGATTTACATTTTCAGAATTTATTTGCCTACCAAAACCCTAAGGTTTTTATTTCGAGCTGAAGTTATAGTTGAAATGATTTTTGTTTGTTTCAAAAAATATCTACTTGAAAAAAGCCTTGGGCATTACAAAGCTCCAAAGAATGAAAGAAATCAGAATGTGTACCTCATAATGAAATCCTACACAGAGAAAATGAATTTAAAATTCAGCTATAATAATGGATCCTATAAAGGAAACCACATCTAATAATTCTGCATATATTTGAATCAAGCAAATCACTATTTTGTTTATATTCTATGATTTGAAATTAATTGAAATGAGCTGGAGGTTTTTTTATTTTGAGAAATACTCAATAATCTTAATAATTTAAGACTGGAAGCAATCTATAGGATCCATCCTTTTTTTTTTTTAAGAGATTGACTTAATTTAACTTTCTCTGAGGAGCTGGGCATCTAATATATTATAAAAGAGGCAGAATTATGCTCTATGATATGATGACTCTTTATTTCATCTGTAGTTTTACAAATATAAAGGGAAAATCAATCATAATATTTTATCTCTATAATGTAGAATATTTAGACTGGTTATAAGGCTAACCTACAAATTAAGCCTATTAGTCTTTCAACTTTGACTTGAGACCATTTCAAAGCTACATAAGAAATAATTTGGGAATTTTCTTAAAATAGAGATAAATTCTTACTCTGTGTGGGAAAACAGATTTTGGCTGCAGCTCTGCTGACCACCACCCTCACCACCCATAGGTCGCAACACCAGTTGGGTTCTTGTTCTTTACCACATTTTTATGAAACGATATATAATGATGAAAGTACATACTGATCATATGATGTCTTTGATTTACTTAATTCTAATTGACTTAATCTTAATATTAAAGCAGTAGTAGCAATAACATGCATTATAATCCATAATGTTATAAAGCAACAAATATATTTGTATTTTGAGAGTAATTTTTTTCCCAAGTGGTAGGTGAAGGTCAAGAGGAATCAGTTGATTTTTCAGCTCCAGACTCTTAAGTATAATTTCATCTTGAAAATGGCAAAACAAAATATTTAGTATTGCACGAGTCAATGACAAATATTGCCAGGAGCCCAAATATACTTCATCAAATTCAGATATCCCTCTGTAACCACTGGGGGATTTTGATCACCAAGGATGATCATGTGAGAAGTTATTTACTGACAAGGTTTTTCCTGGTTGATAGAAGCCAAACATCATGCTCAATTGGCTGTTTAGTTAATGATTTTGGTGATAATGATATCCATTTTACATGTTGTGTGTGTTACCCTTTATTTACTTATTTTTAAAAAATTATTATTTTCATTTTGTAGAGGTGGGGTCTCACTATGTTGTCTAAACTGGTTTTGAACTCCTGACCGCAAGTGATCCTCCCACTCCAGTCTCCAAAAATGCTGGTGTGAGCCACCACTCCTGGCCAATGTCACCACTTTTTTAAACTTTTATTTTAAATTCAGGGTTGCATGTACAGGTTTGTTATATAGGTAAACTTGTGTCATGAAGATTTGTTGTACAGATTATTTCATCACCCAGGTATTAAGCCTAGTCCTATTAGTTATTTTTTCCTCATCTTCTCTCTCCTCCCACCCTCCACTCTCAGGTAGGCCTCAGTGTCTGTTGTTTCTCTCTGTGTCCATGTGTTCTCATCATTTAGCACTCACTTATACATGAGAACATGTGGTATTTAGTTTTCTGTTCTTGCGTTAGTTTGCTAAGAATAATGGCTTCTAGCTCCATCCATGTTCCTGCAAAGGACATGATCTTGTTCTTTATTTATGGCTGCATAGTATTGCATTGTGTGTATGTACCACATTTGTTTATCCAGTCAACTGCTGATGGACATTTAGGTTGATTCCTTGTCTTTGCTGTTGTGAATTGTGCTGCAGTTAACATATGCCTGCATGTGTCTTGATAATATTTACAGAATATTTCTATTCATTTTATATTAAATGATTTCTATTCATTTGGATATATATCCAGTAATGGGATTGCTGGATCAAATGGTAATTCCGTTTTTAGCTATTTGAGGAATTGCCACACTGCTTTCCACAATGGTTGAACTAATTTACTCTCTCACCAACAGTGAATTGTCATTATTTTAAAAGTCAGCTTTGGCAATTTGCCTCCTCACATCTTTCTGGTGTTATCAATTACTTCCAGATCCCTGGATCCACTCAAACGTTCTGGAGAATGATTGCCACTTACTGGCAACGAGTGTCATTGCAAAGGACCTAGCAACAGAGAAGTTACATTAATTATATGACTTTTTAATGATCTGAATCTGAAGAAATATCTATGCCTTTGTATATATAATATTGATGTATTGAGAACTCACAAAATTTTATGTGAGAAGGAAATATAATACTTTTCTGTGATGACACTTTGGTCCACTTTTTCTCAACTCAAAACTGTGGAATTAAAAATACAGCAGGACCTAAAAATTCATCATTTCAATAGTGAGCACAAATAGATACTCAATACTTCATCTCTGACAAACCAGAAATATAGAACTCAATTTATATTTCATGTTCTTAGCAGTTAAGTTATTTGAGGACAAAAATTATTTTTTAATGTGTTTTGTGAACAACTCTTGCAGGAATGTGGGTTATTAATAAATTTCAATTGGGGAAGATGATGATAGATCACACATGAGATTGGATGGACCCTTAATGGTGGATTAGATGCTTTAAGCATGCCTCAGCCACTTGAAAATAGCAACATAATACATAAAGATCAACTTTGTGAGTTCTAATGCAAGAAGAAAAACGGCAACACAGTGCAACCATGAAGGACACCCCAAATCCTAGCAGGAGGATGCCAGCAAACAGCCTCTGTGACAGCATCTGGCTGAAAAAGTGAGTGAAGCCCCAGTACCTGAGAGAGGCAGAGCGCCTCCCCCTGTGACTCACCTTTCCACCTGGGATTCAAGCAACTCAAGCCAAAAAAGAGCACTTTTGTTTCTTCCAAGCTCTGGAGCTAACTTGGGGAGAGGCTTGGAGGCTCTGAGAGGGAAAGACACTGGAAAAAGCTGCAGGCATTTTCACAGACCCAGGACCTGGAAGAAGATGCCATTTTTAATCCAGGTGCATACAAAGTCAGCCATTCTTTGGGGACCCAACAATG